>NC_000009.12:41059976-41225986 GCF_000001405.40 Homo sapiens | reverse complement strand
AGAATTTATCAAATGTGTCTATATTTCTACGCATATAATTCATATAAAGAACATGTAGTTTAAATCATTGCACATTTTATGCTTTTAATCAGTTGTGATGGTCATTAGTATTTTTATCGCATTTCCCCAAAGATAGGCTAATCACTGTTATTATTTTCAGCTAGAAATATAAAAGGTATTTTCTATTTTTGATGACTTTGAAACATAACCCTTGGAATATAATATATGTGTATAATATCTGTGGAAAGCATGAAAGTAATATTCAAACAGTATGCATTTTTTCCAGAATGAAAATTTCCTCTACAATAACATTCATCCTTTTTTCCTGATGGACACATAACAGTCAACATTTCTAACATTGCTGGATGTTATTTACATTAAACTTCCTCAGCTTCAGGTGTTGCAGAAACTGGGCAAGAGGCCACAAGGTACCCAATACACACACACAAAAAAAAACTTGTATTATTATACTTACCTAAGTGTCTAAAGAGGTGGATAAATATATTAGATTGCTCCAGAACAAGGATTTTTATGGGGCCTATTGGAAAATATGACTGCAGTTTGAGTGAGATGCCTGTAAGAGATTCAATTTGGCCACTATTTATTGAGTATCCAATTTTAAAAGTACTGACAGAAGGCTCATGAGATAGAAATTTTCACCTAAGTCTATTGGAAATGTGCTACTGGATGCTGTAGTAAAGAGTGGTGTGGTAATTGTAAAACACATCTGATATCTAAACCTTTGTTTGTTTTTTACCTGAAATCTTTATGGGGGTGATTGTGTATGTCAATTTGAATCTTCCCGTCAACAAGATAAATAAATAAATAGCCAGCCTACCTCAATAAATTAGTTCACCTTTTCGGCAGTGCTTCTCCTCCTTTGACAGCCACAAGATTCGCCCGGGGATCTCCTTAAAATGCAAAACCATAGACCACACTTTGACTAGCTTGGATAAGGGGCCAGAGCATTGAAATGAGTGTGTAGGTAACTGTGCTAAGATTCTCCTGCTCATTTGGGAACTGGCTCACCATATAAATAAAGCTTAGGACCTCTAGTCCTTGCTGGAAAAGAAATACACATACATAGGATGTGACTGTGCATATGGAATATCTGTTGTGTTCTGGACATTGTGCTAGACAACAGAGATAAGGAGTCAAATAATCCCTTGTCTGTATCTGAAAAGAGCTTCTGACACAGTGGCTTCTGAGGTCTTTGAAACGAGATTCACTTTCAGATTTGATTATTTTATTTACGATTTGATATTTTCATTGAACCCCATGATATGATAAAGTTTTCCAGAACCTGCTAGAACAATTGACTTTGCTTTCAGCATTATGAAGCCACTGGGGCATATAAGTAGTTCATTTATGTTTGTATTTAACCAGACAGGAACAAGTTGAGCTACTTTTCTGGCCACCTTCGTTTAGACCTGTTTTTTTTAGTTATTTTTGTTTGTTTGTTTTTGAAACGGGTCTCACTCTGTCACCTAGGCTGGAATGCAGTGGTGTGATCAGAGCTCACTGCAGCCTCTACCTTCTAGGCTCAAGCAATCCTCTCACCTCAGCCTCCTGAAAAGCTGCGACCACAGGCTCATACCACCATACCCAGCTAATTAAAAATATATTTTTTTGTACAGACAGGGTTTTTCCATGTTTCCTAGACTTGTCTCCAACTCCTGAGCTCAAGCAATCTGCCTGCCTCAGCCTCCTAAAGTGTAGAGCTGTGTTTTTAGTCTTTTTTGAGCTGTTTTACAATGCAGTTTTGAATTGATAAGTTTGGATTCATTCTGATATTTACAGATTTAACATCCTACTTCACAAGATGCTCATAGCCTTGATCCATTACAGTAGCCACCTTGTCCATCTCTGCTCATAGCCTAAACTAACAGAAGCCAGAGGGAAGAAATGGAAGCCAACATGAGTCCAGAACACACATTTTATAAGAGCATAAGAAATTTAAAAATAGCAAAGTATATCATGAAGTTTTTAATAGATATGCGTGGCTAAAATTTATTCTCAATCAATATATTCTATAAACTGGGAGAAAATATTAAACACATGAAAAGTAAGGAACTTGGGCTGGGCGCGGTGACTCACGCCTGTAATCCCAGCACTTTGGGAGGCTGAGGTGGGCGGATCACAAAGTCAGGAGATCAAGACCATCCTGGCTAACACGGTGAAACCCCGTCTCTACTAAAAATACAAAAAATTAGCCAGGCATTGTGGCGGGTGCCTGTAGTCCCAGCTACTCGGGAGGCTGAGGCAGGAGAATGCTGTCAACCTGGGAGGCGGAGCTTGCAGTGAACCAAGATCGCGCCACTGCACTCCAGCCTGGGCAACAGAGCAAGACTCCGTCTCAAAAAAAAAAAAAAAAGAAAGAAAAGTAAGGAACTTTTATCATTATTATATAACTAATATGGGTAAGCTATTGATTATTGCCACAATTTCAGATCCTGTTATTGTCTATTCAGAGATTCAACTTCTTCCTGGTTTAGTCTTGGGAGAGTGTACGTGTCGACGAATTTATCCATTTCTTCTAGATTTTCTAGTTTATTTGCGTAGAGGTGTTTGTAGTATTCTCTGATGGTAGTTTGTATTTCTGTGGGATCGGTGGTGATATCCCCTTTATCATTTTTTATTGTGTCTATTTGATTCTTCTCTTTTTATTAGTCTTGCTAGCGGTCTATCAATTTTGTTGATCCTTTCAAAAAACCAGCTCCTGGATTCATTAATTTTTTGAAGGGTTTTTTGTGTCTCTATTTCCTTCAGTTCTGCTCTGATTTTAGTTATTTCTTGCCTTCTGCTAGCTTTTGAATGTGTTTGCTCTTGCTTTTCTAGTTCTTTTAATTGTGATGATAGGGTGTCAATTTTGGATCTTTCTTGCTTTCTCTTGTGGGCATTTAGTGCTATAAATTTCCCTCTACACACTGCTTTGAATGTGTCCCAGAGATTCTGGTATGTTGTGTCTTTGTTCTCGTTGGTTTCAAAGAACATCTTTATTTCTGCCTTCATTTCGTTATGTAACTAGTAGTCATTCAGGAGCAGGTTGTTCAGATTCCATGTAGTTGAGCGGTTTTGAGTGAGATTCTTAATCCTGAGTTCTAGTTTCATTGCACTGTGGTCTGAGATATAGTTTGTTATAATTTCTGTTCTTTTACATTTGCTGAGGAGAGCTTTACTTCCAAGTATGTGGTCAATTTTGGAATAGGTGTGGTGTGGTGCTGAAAAAAATGTATATTCTGTTGATTTGGGGTGGAGAGTTCTGTAGATGTCTATTAGGTCCGCTTGGTGCAGAGCTGAGTTCAATTCCTGGGTATCCTTGTTGACTTTCTGTATCGTTGATCTGTCTAATGTTGACAGTGGGGTGTTAAAGTCTCCCATTATTAATGTGTGGGAGTCTAAGTCTCTTTGTAGGTCACTCAGGACTTGCTTTATGAATCTTGGTGCTCCTGTATTGGGTGCATATATATTTATATAACTAATATGATGAGAATGTGGTTTATGTTTTTATCTTTGCAAGATTTAGGAACATTTAGTGCAAAGAGGAAGAATTTATAATCATGGGGATCATGTATGATACTGGAGGGACCCTTCTGACAAGGGGGAAATGGCATCACGAGACATGCTATGGTCATAGCTTTGTGGGAGCACAGCTAGCTATGATCTCCCTCATCAAACCCATTGGGCAGTGTTCAGTTACCAACATTGAGATAGAGCTCACCCACCCAGGACAGAAAAGAACATATACACTGCAGTCAGAAGCCACTGAGTAGGAAGCTCCTTTCAGATAGAGGCAAGGGATATTTGACTTTTTATCTCTAGTGTCTAGTACAATGTCCAGAACACAACAGACATTCCATATGCACAGTCACATCCTATGTATCTGTATTTCTTTTCCAGCCGGGACTTGAGGTCCTAAGCTTCGTTAATGTGGTGAGCCAGTGCCCACATGAACAGTAGCATCTTAGCACTGTCACCAAGACATCCATTTAAATGCTCCTATCTTCGCTAGTCAAAGTGTGGTCTATGAGTTTCCATTTTAATAAGATCCACGGGTGAATCTTGTGCATATTACAGAGGAAGCACTGTCCTACATCATATGTGACAGGCTCTCATACTCACCATCTTGTACATGTTACAGGGAAGCACTGTCCTACATCATATGTGACGGGCTCTCATAGTCACCATCATCACGGGAATCTTCTGCATGTTACAGGGAAGCACTGTCCTACATCGTATGTGACAGGCTTTCATAGTCACCATCATCACGGGAATCTTGAGCATGTTACAGAGGAAGCAGTGGGGCCCTACATCATATGTGACAGGCTCTCATAGTCACCATCATCACGGGAATCTTGTGCATGTTACAGAGGAAGCACTGTCCTACATCATATGTGAAAGGCTCATAGTCACCATCATCATGGGAATCTTGCGCATGTTACAGGGAAGCACTGTCCTACATCGTATGTGACAGGCTTTCATAGTCACCGTCATCACGGGAATCTTGCACATGTTACAGGGAAGCACTGGGGTCCTACATCGTATGTGACAGGCTTTCATAGTCACCGTCATCACGGGAATCTTGCACATGTTACAGGGAAGCACTGGGGTCCTACATCATATGTGACAGGCTCTCATAGTCACCATCACCATGGGAAGCTGCATTTAGAGCATTTTAACTATATGGGCTCTGAAATCAGATGACCTAGGTTTAGACTTCCTTCTACTTCTTACTAAGCAGAGAACTCTGGGGTGAAAACTTTACGAGGCCCAGTTTTATCATGTGCAAATTGGAGGTATAGGGAAATTATAGCATTTTGCATGGAATATTGTTTTAAGTATAAAATGAAATAGTACAGAGGAAGCTTCTGCCATACCTTAACTACACAATAAATATTAGTTAATATTAACTCATTTAATCCTAAGAAGAGGTCTATAAATTTGTACACAATAATTTTTTGTGGCTACTCAAATTTTCATAATTAATCTAGATTTAAAATCAAGGAATATTCTTACTTGTAGTTGGCAATCAATATGACATGCCAAAATTATATGTAAGTATTTTATTGTTGGTGAGGATATAAGAAATTTACCATCAAAAGAGAGACGATAATCTATGCTTGCAGACTCCGGAAAGCTGTCTCTCACATAAGAATTTGCAATTTCTGGGGGAAAAGAAAAAGTTGATTGTGCAAATAAACATTACCATGGAGTCTTCTCTATGGCAACATCAAAAATGGAAGCTAATTCTCATCTTCCTAACAATCTGCAAAGACGAGTGAAACACAACCTACTGAGCATCAAGTTAAAGAAGGAGAGAAATTTGAGTGGCACAGGAGGAAATCATGTCACCGCTAGCGAAATCAATATGACGAGTGCTCCTCTGCCCTCCTCCGAGGCTAAGGATGGGTTAAATATCAGTGGCTGACCTCAGGTAATGGAATAAGCAAAAAAGCTATAAAAATGCATGCATTACGTAATTAAGAGGGTGGGAAGGTATTTTTTTAAAAAGGCAATTCCTACTTGGGTTCCTTCCTGTTCACCCCGTTGGCAAAGAAGCTAGTCTTGTCCTAGAATTCTGGGAATGGCTGCAGACAAAACAAACACTGAGCAGACGAAATTCCCAGTAATTTAAACAAAACTCATGATATCCTTGTGTACAAGATGGAAGAAGAGTGGACCAGATGACAATATTTAGATGGAGTCATTCTTAACCCCCGTTGCTCTCCCAGTGGTCTAGCTGGGGTTTGTATAAAGTGGAATGGGAGGAATAGGGAAGGAGCCCCCACCTACCCTCTCCCCTTGTCCACTTGTCCTCCTTCACTAGTGGATAAAGTCCACGGGAACAGGCAAGTTATTTTAAATCTGTATCTTCTGTTGTCAAGATCTATAATCAGTTCTGCTTGCTGGACTGGGGACAGGAACCAAGGGAACATGAGGGTTGACGTGGAGTCCAGGAACACACTGTGCCTACATGCAGAATGTTTGTGCCAGGAAAGCCAGTCAGCACGCAGATGGTCTCAGATACCAAGCTAGTGTTGGGAAGCAAGATTCAGTCTCTTGAAGGCGGTGTTCCTCATTCTGTGGTTTGTATCACTTGCTTCAGAATGACCTGGAGTACTTGTTAAAATGCAAATTTTGAGCCCAATCCTAGACCTCCTAAGCCTGCATCTCTACGGATGGGTCTCAGTAGTCGATATTGGAAACGTGCAGGTCCCTAGGAGATGCTTATGCATATAGATTTGAACTGTTGTGTTTAAGGGTTAGGGAGCTGGCAAAAGCAAGGAATAGACCAAGCCCTCGGGTGGGAAGGCTCCATAACCTTGGCACTGTTAGCATTCTGGGCGGAACAGGATTCTGCCACATGCTTCGCAGCATCCCTAGCCTCTACTCTCTAAGACCGTATTCCAGTTGTGAAAACGAAAATGTCCCCTGGGAGGCAAAATAGTCACCAGTTGGGAACTGGAACCACTGCTTTGTGAGATCAGAGTGGTTACTTTGTTCCCAATCCAAGGATCAGAACACACGATGAGAGAAAGTCCAGCTATTGGAACTGGAGTGCCAAGTTGGAGCTAGACCTACAACAAAAGCTCCAAAAGCTCCTTTATAGAGCTGATCCCATGCCTCAGCTACCTAGCTTGTACAGATGCCATGTAACTCTAGATTTGGTGACAGAAGGAATTTAAAGGCTAGAACTAGATAGGGTCTTTCAGGTTAGGCCAGCACACAACGTGGACTTTTGACGTCATCCAGATGCTTGAACCAACCTCAGTCCTGAGGCAGAATTTCCCGTGGCATCTGATACACAGCCTGGATTTGGAGCACTCACTGGGATTAGATGCCACGGGAATATTGTGTTTAGGAACTCTGAAAGAGACATGCTTCAACAAAGCAGACCTAAGCAACACGTAGCGTCTGAACTTCTTTATCAGCTTCCATTCCAGCCCATGAGGACAAAAGCATCACATACATATCCACTGTGGCAAACCTGTCCTCAGTAGGGAGTTTCCCCAGTATTACTCTCCCCTCTGTTCTGAGCCTACTTGCTCCTTTGTAATGTTTCCACTTTCTGTCCCACTCCCTAATAGATGATTTGTCCTCTCTGCCCAGCCCCCTAGTTCTGATATTTGGATTGTCTGTGATCTGGGTAGTACTTAGGAGGTAGAATCAAAGCCTTGTTGATTGGATTGGGAGTTTCTAACTTCCTATTAAAGGCACTGATTAAGCATCTATTGTATAAAGTAAAGTAAGATTATGATCCAGTAAGAAAGATTCCACAAGTAGCGCAGGAAGAATTGGTTTCTAGTACACTTCATGCTTCAGGACCAGAAATCCAGAAAAAAATTCTGTGGTACGTTAAGTGTTTACTGTAAGTTTCATTTCCATGTGAAAAACTGTAGTTAGCTAAAAAGTACATCCATGAAGAATCCTGATTAAACTTGTTTAATCCTGGTTAAACTAGCTACTAGCTAAACAATAAGTTCACAACAACTCAAGAACTCTGTAAAAGCATTTCCTCTGAATATTTTATTCAGAAAAAAAACACAAAAAGATAAGGCAGAAACAAAAATCCCAGTCATTTGCAGTATCTGTCAGCTTTCAATTTGGTTCTCTTGTTTAAATAAAGAAAAATAGTAAAATTAATCTATGTAAAACATGTCATATATATTCAACTGCTACTAAATATAAAAAGCTTTAAAACTGTGTGTTCAATTTTGGTTAGTGTATTACCACAACACTTATATTAAAATATGTATACTTTTAAATTTGGTTTCTATAAAAAATGGATTCTAATCTTATAAAAGTTATTTCCTAATATTCAATAAATGTTGCCTAAGGGCTTTTTCAATCCAAATAGCAATTTTAATTATTCTGGAATTTAAGGGTGCTCTAAATTTCCATTTAACAGGGTGAGAACACTGTATTATTACAAGTGAAAAAAGTTACAGGACATAGAGCTTATTCCGTTTTAGACTCCACATCCTGATTATATTTTATATCCTCTTCTTGATTTCTTACAACTAGATACATACTCATTTGCTCAGCTGGAAAAAGTTCTTAACGTTATTTACTGACTTTAGGTATGAACTCTACCAGCTAGTTAACAGGAAATACGTAATTAAACATTGACTTTATCAAGTAATGTAAAAAAAGGGTAAGAGTAACTTTCCAACATAGGACTTGAATGAGCGGCTGGTGATTATCAAAATCTGGCACTTAATTGATTTATACTTGTACACTCACAGCTAAACGTCTCTACCTGTTTTTCTATGTTGTAAATCTAGGACATCACTTATCTACATAGGAATAGTAATAAATATTAATAATGTGCTATGATAAACATCCTGCACTCTTCCAAATCTTACAGTAAAACTGCTTCAATTTCACTTGTTTAGCTTTTATACTTAGTTTTTTAGTTGATCTATGCTTATTTTAAGGAACCTGAACTACTCTAACAGAATCCACATAATTTTTATATTAGTCAAACTGCTTCTTTCTAACTCTGGTTCTAATAGTTATAAAAAGATAATGATAAATTTATGAAGTAGATACAGTCAAACCTGAATTTCTTAAAGTATATGTTTAGAATCGGTTATAATTTTTAGATATTCTTTCTTGAAAGTCTTTTCCCAAACTCATGATGTCCTCTCTAGGTAATATTGCCACACTCATAAATTAGAAATAAAGACAAAAATGTGAAAACTACAGTAATTTAAGAGAATGTAGGTTTTCTATATGCCATTTCTATTGGCTACTGAAAATAGTGGAAATAAGTACATAAATAGCTACCTGTCCAGAAGCGTCTCATGCAAAAATCCATCTTTCTGCGTCTTTTTAAGAATTTTACTGCTTCTTGACTTATTTTAAGTTTGTGGTCTTGGAAGCTCTGAAATTTCTTTCTGCAAAGAAAATGCCTTCATTGAAAAAACCTCAAACTCTGATTATACATATTTACTATTAAATTTATAAATACTGTTAATTTCTTTTTCACTTATTAAAAAAGTCTAATTGTAGGCCAGGCGCAGTGGCTCATGCCTGCAATCCCAGCACTTTGGGAGGCCAAGGCAGGCAGATCACTCGAGGTCAGGAGTTCGAGAACAGCCTGGCCAACATGGTGAAACCCCGTCTCTACTAAAAATACAAAAATTAGCCGAGCGTAGTGGCGTGTGCCTGTAGTCCCAGCTACTCGGGAGGCTGAGGCAGGAGAATCACATGAACCTGGGAGGTGGAGGTTGCGATGAGCCGAGATCATGGCACTGCACTCCAGTCTGGGGGACAGAGCGAGACTCCGTCTTGGGGGAGAAAAAAAAAGTCTAATTATATTTTTTTAAATAAGCTGGAGCTTTTGAACAACAAAGGTGACCTCTCAAGAGGAGGGCCACTCATTGACTGGGTAGCACAAGGCCCCATTTCTATTAGGGCATGCTGGCTGGAGTCCCCTGTGTCCTGGCCATAGCACAGCCTTTGACTGGCATCACTCCCATTGTATGAATGAATAGAGAGATTGACTAACCCGACTGACTAGTTTTGGGAGCTGGTAGGATGATTAGGAAAACTGAACCCTCAAGAAAAGAAAAGCATTTAGCTCAGTGCTCTGTCCCAGAGGCTACATTGTGTTGCCTCTTCTTGTCCATCAGTTTTCATTTTTTCAGACGGGGTCTTGCTCTGTCACCCAGGCTGGAATGCAGTGGTGATCAGAGCTCACTGCAGCCTTGAACTCCTGGGCTCAAACAATCCTCCTGTCTCAGCCTCCCGAGTAGCTGGGCCTACATGCATGCACCACCATCCCCAGCTAATTAGGTAATTTATTTTGAAAGCACTTTGAGAAGCACTTCACTGTCAAATCTGTAGGTCTAAAAGGAAAAGCATACATACACATAATTGATTTCACATTGTTTTACATTTCCTTTGTCTTCTTCTGGAATGTCATCTTTTTTCTTGGTTTCTCTTTCAGCACAGGATCTAATCTAGATATTGGAAAAGAGAATCCAATGGGTTATATGTTTATCTTCCACCTTCCCCACTTTACGTATCACATAAGAACATTCGAGATGATTTCTTATGCAGAAGAAAAAATTAACTGAGCAACTATATTCAGAAAAAGACAGGTTCTGGCTATGTGTTTTTACTTCATATATATAATCTATATGAGTAAGTGCTATCACATGCTTCCTCCACAGCCCTTGTGTCAGAAACACTACAGACAAAATTATTTCAGAAACATTTTACACATCAGATCTGTTAGGCAGTAAAGCAATCATTAACTAATTTAATTTTGTCCTCCAAGTCAATACACTAGGATCAAATTATCCCTAGTAGACAAGTGTTCATTTGATCAGATTGAAAGCTTAATAGCTATTTTAGATTGCACAGACTATTACCAAAGTATTAAAACTTTTAACATTACACAACTTGTTTTTAATTAATTGGAACCCACCTCTTTTACTAGCTTCTTATATCCTCCTAAGTTTGGATAGATGTTTACTATCACATGTCATAAGTTAATTGATCTGCATTCAACAATTAGGATCGCCCACAGAACAGGTAATTGGCAATGGTAAGGACTCATGTCTCCTAAGGGATCTCTGTGGCCAGAGTCTAGTTCCAGGGCTGCTTAGAAAGTGATGACAAATAACGTGTTTGTGCCAATGACATCTTTGTGACAGTTTTGATTAGAGGGGTCCCAGACCTGAAAACATTCCCTGCTAGAGCCTGTAGCACAATGCTACCTTTAGTAAGAGGGATCTGTGTTCTGGTAGATAAGGCAAGGTCATAAAGGTGAAGGGCTGACAGAGATTAGGAGAGCCTGCAATTAAATGGTACGAAAAGAGTCCTAAATAATCACTGTTCAGAGCTTCCAAGTACTTGACTAACCAAAGAGACCCAGAAAACTTTGTATTTCATCTGAAAATTGCTTTAAATAGTGAAAAATGCAATCTTTGTGTAAGTATCTTTGTATCTTTGTATAAGTGCAAAGCACTGCACATATATTTGCAATTGTTGCCTTCAATAACACTTTTGTGATGATATCCAGATGAAAAATAATTTAAACATGATACAATAAAATATAAATAAATTAAATTAAATGTAAGTCACAAACCCATCTGCATTTCCTCCATGACCTGTTTCCTGAGAAGCAATGTGCTATGAAATACTGAGACTGGCCTCTGGAGTCAGCTGGGCCTGGGTACACATCCTGTCTTGCCACACCTTGAAATCACTGTGATTTCCATGAACTGACTGACAAAAACCACGAGGATGTAAGGAGGGTCAGAGGCTGTCTTACTGTCTGTAAGGCTGAGCTCACATCCACCTCACAGGAGCATTATGGAAATTCAAGACTGCAACGCATGTGCCGGATGCATGCAACGAAAAAATATAACACTTCACTTCTCTAACTGTAAGAAAATACCTACATTTTAGATTGAAATTGTTTGAGCTTTAGATTTGAAATTATCTGAAATCAAGACTATTCTAAAAAGAAAATCAAACATATGACCGGAAATCTAACATGAAGCACATACAGAGAATTGATAGATGCTTTTAAATTACACTGGTAGTAGAGAAAAATGTAACATAAATTTTTATGCTCTGATTATAAGAACAAAGGCCGTTTTAGAAAAGGCATTTGCCCCCTCTCTTAGAGCCTTCCACTCTGGCCCCCACAATGCCTGACAGAGTAAATCTGGGTCAGACTGGATGCAACCTGTGATTCCCAAAAGAGACAAACAAAGCAAGGTTCAGGATGCTCAGTACTGCGATGGAATGCCAAGACACAGAAAAGCCATGTGTCAAGAAGGGGGGAGTTATTCTTTAGACACATCCTGATATATGTTTATCATTAAAGATCAGTGGCTTTTGTGAGTCTAAAAAATTAAGCCTTAAATGTTTTCATCAAATTCCAGTTAACTACCTGATTTATCTAGGTTATATTAACAGTATTATTTAGAATTTCACCTTGATATGAAGATGTCTGTGTAACTTTTACAATGATGTAAAACAAAGAGTAGGATTAGGGAGGGCACAGGCCACTGGTGTAATGGATAACGCGTCTGACTACGGATGAGGGAATTTAGCCTGGAATAAGGAACTTTTATTTCCAGCTTAGTGACGCACACAAATTTTAAAAATAAAATAAAAATCATGTTTTATGTGATTCATGTTTCTCCTAATGCAAAGAAGATGGGTACTATTACTAAAAATATTTTTTAAATGTAAGGGCTAAGGCCCCAGAAGTTCTGCTATGATTTTTTATGTTTCATAGAGTGATTATCATCACAGAAGCTCAAGCATTACATAAATACAAATGCGTATACCCCGACCTGGTAATTCTGCTTCTTGAAATTTATCTTCAGGTCCACCCGCACATCTACAAATTGATGCATATTCAATGTTATGTACTGCAGCACTGTTTATAAGAGCAAAAGACTGGAAACAGCCTAAATTTCCATCTATAAAAGACTAAATAAATAAAGGTACATCCCTAAAATGGAATATTATGTGGCGTTAAAAAAGAGAGAGAGAGAAAGAGAGGAGAAGCAAGAAAAAGAGAAAGCTTTCTACATTCAAACTAATAGTAGAAAACTCTCCAAGATACAATTTTAAAGAAAAAAAAATCAAAGTCGAGAAAACTATAGAGGAGGCTGCCTTTAGTGTAAGACAGTTGAAAATTATAAATATATTCATATGTTTATAAAGAAATTTTAGGAGGCTATAAAAAAACAAAACAAAGGGAAAGAGGAACAGGAGCTGGGACACAGGTGAGCAAGATGCATGGCAGGCATATGTCTTCATCTTCGTATGCTTTTATTTAAAAATGTTGGACCATGTGTACATGTTATCTATTTTAAAAATTAGATTTTAAAATACAAGCAAGAAAACAAGAAAATGAAAGCATAAAAAGAGCATGTGGAACTACCAGTAAAAGATACTAATCCATGGAGATAATGGCAAGGTAGCTCCTAGATGCACTGATTTCTCTACCACATTGTATAAACAAGCCATCAACTATGCGATTTGTAATTAAAAATGAGTCTATTTGAAACACCACATTATAAAAAGCTATTAAGTAAATCTTCAAAGTGACAGTAAATGATGACTTAACATTTTAAAGAGATACAGTCACATCGCATGTGTGAATGCAGTCATCTGTATAAAATGTCATCATTACCTTCATCATTTCTTCTTCTCCTGCTGTTTTACTTTTTGCTTCTATGTCCCCTGCTTCATTGCATCTAATAAAGCAGCTATTTGAGGCCAACAAATCCATTTTCCCCTAAGTGAAACGAAATAACAAAATAGCCATGAGGATACTTCTTGTAGAAGAAATATTAAGTGTTTAGACTGAATGAATTTTTCCTCCCTGATTTAAAAATCACAGAAAAGAACTTAGAGAAAAACCTGAAAAATATAATACAAGAACATATAGAAAAGGAAACCAAAATCACCTTTCATTTTGCTATTCAAAGATTGCCACAATAAATATTTGTAGTGTATCTTCCTAGTAGGACTAAACTCTAATTAGATGAGGTAGGATTGCTTCCTTTCTAAAAGATCTACTGAAGATAAAACTGATTTAGTTCTGTTTGAAAAATTAACTTTAAAGACAAGAACATAATTATGAATGCATACTTTATTCAAATATTAGCATTTTAAGTAAAATTTATTTTCCTCACAATTAGAAAACATGAAAAGGCATATACAATGCCTTTGGTGTTTTGAATTTAAGAATCAATGTCTGAGGGACTTTTGTGTGTGAAAATAAATATTCATGGCCGGGCGCGGTGGCTCACGCCTGTAATCCTAGCACTTTGGGAGGCCGAGGCGGGTGGATCACGAGGTCAGGAGATCGAGACCATCCTGGCTAACATGGTGAAACCCCGTCTCTACTAAAAATACAAAAAATTAGCCGGGTGTGGTGGCGGGCACCTGTAGTCCCAGCTACTCGGGAGGCTGAGGCAAGAGAATGGCATGAACCAGGGAGGCAGAGCTTGCAGTGAGCCAAGATCGTGCCACTGCACTCCAGCCTGGGCGACAGAGCCAGACTCTGCTTAAAAAAAAAATAATAAATAAATAAATAAATATTCATACACATTTTTCGTTGTTTAATGTTTGATGTATTACACTGCTTTCTATTAAACAAAACTTTAAAAACTGATTTTCTTGTGTATCTAAATCTGGGTTATAAATGTGGTTAGCTTAACTCCCGTAACAAATATAGTGTTTATTTATAACTTGTATTTG
Organism: Homo sapiens; assembly: GCF_000001405.40. Classification (NCBI taxonomy): domain Eukaryota; kingdom Metazoa; phylum Chordata; class Mammalia; order Primates; family Hominidae; genus Homo; species Homo sapiens. Next base: position 41,211,742 of record NC_000009.12, on the reverse strand, counting down.
GTTGATTCTTTTGGAAAACTTGGAATACAATAACATTTAGACAAAATATTTATAAATACAATGATTACAAAATATGTTAACCTTATATCACATCCAGTTAAAAACGTGCTGATAATATGGATTTAATTTCTTAGTCAAGTCACAAGGGCTGGGTGGTCTCTCATCTCGATGGCTCCTGGTGAGCCCTGGAACATGGCGGTGTGGTCCAAGGCGATTTAAACCTGTGCCACAGATTATTCAGCTGAGTCCTTTTTGCAACAGAGATTTAAGACCCTCTTTCATTTAAATTTAAATTTTTGAAACTTAGTGTCAAATGCTAAAATATCATTGGAACATTACTTTAGATTAGAAAATATTTTATTAATAATTCAGACAGAGTGTGATATGGTTTGGCTGTGTCCCCCCCAAATCTCATCTTGAATTGTAGTTCCCATAATCCCCACATGTTACCCAGTGGGGGGTAATTGAATCATGGGGGCGGTTAGCCCATGCTGCTATTCTCATGATAGTGAGTGAGTTCTCATGAGATCTGATGGTTTTATCCAGGACTTTTCCCCCTTTTGCTCAGCACCTCTCCTTGCTGCTGCCATGTGAAGAAGGATGTGTTTGCTTCCCGTTCCGCCATGATTGTAAGTTTCCTGAGGCCTCCCCGAACTATGAGTCAATTAAATCTCTTTCGTTTATGAATAGCCAAGCACTGTGAGAATGGACTAATAAATACGAGTGTCTTAATCCATTTTGCATTGTTATAAAGGAATATCTGAGGCTGGGTAATTTAATAAAATAAGACATTTATTTGACTCACGGTTCTTCAGGCTCTGCAAGAAGCATGGCACCAGCATCTGCTTCTGGTGAGGACCTCATGAAGTTTCTAACCATGGGGGGAGGCCAAGAGAGAGCAGGCATGTCACATGGCAAGGGAGGGAGCAAGAGAGAGGGGAGGAGTGCCATGCTCTTTTAGGCAGCCAGATCCCACAGGAACTAAGAGTGAGAATTCACTCAATCCTAACATAATGACACCAAGCAACTCATGAGGGATCTGCCCCCCTGACCCAAACACCTCCAACTAGGCCCCACCTCCCACATTAGGGATGAAATTTCAACATGATATTTGGAGGGAACTAATATCCAAACTATGTCATAGAGGTATGTGTGTAACCTCATTCATTTATGCATTCATTCAACAAAATATGTAGTGAGCACCTGCTATGTGCCAGGCACTGTGCTAGGCTGTAGATATGACTCATAAATAAGATGAATATTGCCACAGTCCTTAGGAGCCTAGTGTAGTTGGGGAGTAAATAAGCAAACAGATAATTTCTATACCTGGTAATTACTACTTTGATAGGGCAAAGAGGATTCTGTTTGTGCTGTAAAAGCACATGAAAAGTACAAAGTCAATCCTTGGGAGGTCATGGAATCTTTCCTAGGAAATGATATATAAGGTGGATAAAAAGGTAACCAGATACAGATGAGAAGAGAAGGTGGGCCAGAAATTTTGAAATACTGAACCAACTGGATGTCATTCACTGACATAGGGTAATAGTATAGATGACTGGATTGGAAAATGAAAAAGGAACTAAAAGTAATTAAATGAGCTGCAGACATGAAAATGAACACTTGGGAAGTCCTGGCAGGAAGTCATCAATAAGACAACATAATGAAGTGGAAAGTGGTTGGGAGTAAGGCTGACTTGGATTCAAACCCTAGTTTCACCACTTAATAGACGTGTTAAGTTGAACAAATCCTTTAACTTTTCAGAGCCTCAATTTTCCTCTTTGTAAAATACAGATAATAACATGGACACTATAAGGGTTTTGTTGTTGTTGTTGTTGTTTTGAGACGGAGTCTTGCTCTGTTGCCCAGGCTGGAGTGCAGTGCCTCAATCTTGGCTCACTGCAACCTCTGCCTCCTGGGTTCAAGCGATTCTCCTGCCTCAGCTTCCAGAGTAGCTGGGACTACAGGCGCACGCCACCATGCCTGGCTAATTTTTGTATTTTTTGTAGAGACGGGGTTTCACCATATTGGCCAGGCTGGTCTCGAACTCCTGATCTCAGATGATCCGCCTGCCTTGGCCTCCCAAAGTGCTGGGATTACAGGTGTGAGCCACCGCACCTGGCCCAGACACTGTAAGTTTTGGGGAGGATTAAATGGGATCATCCATGTAAATGCACCTATCCCAGTCTCTAGCACACACTGAACACTCAAAAGTGGGAGGTTTTGGTATTTCAGAAGAAAATCAGGTGTCGTGGAGTGTTAGTCGTAACCTTGAACTATATGCAAAGACTAAAGCTAGGAAGATAGGAAGAGTTTTACAAGATCCTTTTGGCTATATAGTTAAAGTTATTAGCAGTTAGAGTTTCCCTTACAGTTGACAAGTGAACCATAAAAGTGAATGACTTGTGGTTCCTCAGATAAAAGCACGAGTCAGAGTTGTAATTTCTGTTTTGTGGACGTAATTGTTGACCAAGTGCACTGAAGGTAGGGATGGCCAGTAGCAAAATTATAAAGCAGGCCTGTTTGTCTTCAAACACTCCTGAGTAAACTTGTCATTTCCTTGTAAAAATGCAAAATAGACTACTGAGTAGAGGTGATCAATTACAGAAATGCACTTACTTTGGCTTTCTTCTGAAACCTAATAAAATGACAGTAAAGGGATTATTTTTTTAAGGCAGAAACCCACAATGATGATGAAATTAGAAAGGAAGACAAGAACAACAAGGTTGTGGAATTCAGAAGCCATATAGACAAGAGGTAACACACCTGAGAAAGATGATCCCTAAATTTGTCTTGGAGAAAACTCAGAAGTACCTGACTACATCATAGACCTCCCAAACAGCTTCCAAATGTCCAGATACCACTGAAAATGGGGATAAAGGTAGGGTCAAAAATAGGAGGATTGGGTTATAAGTCTGTATAAGAAGTTGTTAGATCCCTACATCCTCTCTTCAAACCTGTATAGCCAGATAATGGTCCCTCTCCCAGCCTGGCAGAGGCTGGAAAAGGTAAATAGAGAAAGTTACTTCCTGGAGAACATTTGGCACATTTGGGGATGGAGTTCAGTAATATAAATGAAGGGGTAGTGAAAATTTATGGGAACATTTATAACCTAACAGAACCCCATGTCTTTTACCCCATTCTAATTCCAGACCACTAGAGATTAGAAAATTATTCTCTGGGGTATCTGACCACTTCCAGAGGAAAGACATAAAGATGCTGATGTCGAGAATGACCCAACTAAATGGCCCAGCCAGATGACCCAGTTGAAGCTGGTGGACAAGAAGTTTCATTCATGGAATCAGAACTTCCAATAAGGTCTTTTAGTACCTCACTCCTAAATTTGAATAGACTACCAAAGATTATCAGACATCTAAGGGGAACTACCAGCATGAAAGGTAGAGACCAAAGCAAACAAACAAACAAAGAAAATAATTTGGAACTAACCAAGACTATGCTGGGAGAAGAAAACTATTATTAATATCCACAGAGCGTAGTACAGCCACTATGGAGAACAGTATGGAGGTTCCTCTAAAGACTAAAAATAGAACCATCATATAATTCAACAATCCCACTGCTAGATATATACCCCAAAGAAAGGAAATCAGTATATTGAAAAGATATCTGCACTCTCATGTTTACTGTAGCACTATTCATAATAGCCAAGATTTGGAAGCAACTTAAGTGTCCATCAACAGATGAATAGATTTTTTTAAAATGTGGTACATATACACAATGGAGTACTATTCAGCCATAAAAAAGAATGAGAAATGTCATTTGCAACAACATGGTTGGAACTGGAGGACCTTATGTTAAGTGAAATAAGCCAGGCCCAAAAAAGCAAATTTCACATGTTCTCACTCATTTGTGGGACCCAAAAATGAAAACAGTTGAACTCAGGGAGATAGAGTAGGATGATGGTTACCAGAGGCTGGAAGGGTAGTTGTGGTGGGAGGTGGGTGGTTAATGAGTACAAAAATATAGTTAGATAGAATGAATAAATCTAATAGTTGCTAGCACAACAGGGTGACTACAGTCAACAATAATTTACCGTACATTTAAAGTAACTAAAAGAGTATAATTGGCATGTTAGTTACACAAAAAAAGGATAAATGCTTGAGGCAACGGATATACCATTTACCTGGATTTGGTTATCACACATTGTATACTTGCATTAAAATACCTGCCGGGCACATGGCTCATGCCTGTAATCCCAGCACTTTGGGAGGCTGAGGTGGGCAGATCACCTGAGGTCGGGAGTTTGAGACCAGCCTGACTAACATGGAGAAACCCGTCTCTACTAAAAATACAAAGTTAGCTGGGCATGGTGGCTCATTCCTGTAATCCAAGCTACTCGGGAGGCTGAGGCAGGAGAATCACTTGAACCTGGGAGGCGGAGGTTGCAGTGAGCCGAGACCGCACCATTGCACTCCAGCCTGGGCAACAAGAGCACAACTCCGTCTCAAAAAAAAAAAAAAAAATCTTATGTTCCCCATAAATATAAATACCTATTATGTACCAATAAAAGTAAAAAGTAAAAAGTTTCAATTGATTCACAACTTTAAAAAATATCCACAGAGGTGTAAGAGGAGATATTGTATTGCACCCACGAACCAGTCTTATGCTATTTCAGAAAGGGACATTCAAGAAACAAAAAGGGAGCTCTGGGAAATTTGAACAATAAATAATAGTAGAATAAAAAATTCAGAGAAAGTTTGGATGATAAATTTGAGCCAATCTCCCAGTAAGCAAAGCAAAAATATAGAAAATGAGTTAGAAAAGAAAAAGAAAAAAATTAAAGGACTAAAATAAGAAGTCCAACATCTAAATAAGAGGAGATCCACAAAGAGCAACAGAGATAAGAGAAGAAAGGAAATAATCAATAAAATAATTCAAGAAAATCCAAGGACATGAGTTCTCAGATTGTAAGAGACTACTTGAGTGAAAAAAAAAAAAAAAAAGAATGGAGTTAGACCCATCCCAAGGCACATTATTTGTGCGATTTTAAAATACTGATATATTAGTTTGCTAGAGCTGCAGTAACAAAACACCACAGACTGGGTGGCTTGAACAGCAGAAATTTGTTTTCTCATGGTTCTGGATGCTAGAAGTCTAAGATCGAGGTGACAGCAGTTTCGTTTTTTCCTGATGCTTCTCTCCTTAGCTCACAGATGGCTGCCTTCTAGTTGTGTCCTCATACTGTCTTCCCTTGGTCAGTGTTGTCTGTGTCCTCGTCTCCTCTTCTTAAAGGGACACCAGTCATATTAGGTTAAGAATTGCCCATTAGACCTCATTTTACCTTAATTACCTCTTTAAAGGCCCCACGTCTAAATACAGTCATATTCTAAACTACTGGGGGTTAGGGCTTCACTGAGTGAATTTTGGTGGAAAGTGGGGCAGGGGACACAATTCAGCCTACAAAAACTGGAAACAAAGTGAAAATCCTATGTGTTTCTGTGCTCAGAAGACAGGAAGTAGTCATACCCAAGAGTCAATAATTAAACTGGTTTCTCACCAGCAATTTGGGAGACTGGAAGTCGGAAGACACAGAGCAGTGCCTACCACATTCAAAAGAGAAAAGAGGCCGGGCATGGTGGCTCACGCCTGTAATCCCAGCACTTTAGGAGGCGAAGAGGATGGATCACCAGGTCAGGTGTTCAAGACCAGCCTGACCAACATGGTGAAATGCTGTCTCTACTAAAAATACAAAAATTAGCTGGGCATAGTGGAACACGCCTGTAATCCCAGCACTTTGGGAGGCCACAGAGGGCAGATCACCAGGTCAGGAGTTTGAGACCAGCCTGACCAACAAGGTGAAACCCCATCTCTACTAAAAATACAAAAATTAGCCAGGCGTGGTGGCGCATGCCTGTAATCCCAGCTACTCAGAAGGCTGAGACAGAAGAATCACTTGAACCCAGGAGGTGGAGGTTGCAGAGAGCCGAGATCATGCCACTGCACTCCATCCTGGGTGACAGAATGAGACTCCGTCTCAAAAAAAAAAAAAAAAAAAGAGAGAGAGAAAAGAATTCCAACCCAGAATTCTCAACTTCACTGTGTCAGAACATATGAAGTAAACAAATATTCATCTCTACATTTGCCAGTCCCTGTGGACTTAGACCAGATAGTATAAATAATAGTCACAAAAGGAGTATGAATGGGATAAGAAGCCACTTCTAGTCTGAGACAATTAAGAGTAGTAGTGCCTTCTCTGCACTCTCACCGCCTCATTCTGACAGCTGGAGTGAAGGACTCCCAACTTCTGGAACTGCCCAATGAAAGTAGCCTTGTGTGAGTGTTAGCTGGCCTGCTTTGGTCTGGGATGCAAGTAGAAATAAACTCCTCTCATATTAAGCCACTAAGACTTTAGGGATATGTTGCTGTAGCATAGCCTAATGTAGCCTGATTACTGAACGAGCCACCCCATCAACTGAATCTATGTATATACTAAAAACATTTTAAGATATGCAAGGTCTCAAAGAGTTCACTCGATGCACACTTTTTCTCAGGAAGCTACTAGAGGATGTGCTCCACAAAAAATAAAGGTATAAATTGTGAAAGAGGAAAACATAGGATTTAGGAATCAAGGGAATTCAGCACAAGACAGAAGAAAAGGGAATCTGCAGCAAGATCCCTGAGCTGTGCATGTAACATAAAGGGCAACAATTTCCAACACAGAGCAGATCACAAGACCCTAGGATAGATTTCTTGAAGAAAATGAAATTAAAAGAATACTGGATTCATCTGAACATACGAAAAGGAGATTTAAGCAACTTTTTAAGAGCTTGGGAATGAATTAATGATAAATATATGGTATTATGCAACCAAAACTACAATAAAAACATTAAAAATTATAACTCATAAAATTATTAATTTCAGGGAAAATAAAAAGTTGAGTAGGAATGAAAAAAGAATCAGAGGATACTATAAAGCTTATCTGTGGATATTGTTTACATAGTCATGATAATGAAAAAGAAATAATCTAACCAAAATTAAACGTTGGAAGTGTGGGGAGATAGAAATGGTAGTGTATTCGCTATTTATGTGTTGGGGAGGATACCTGTAACTTTAACATTAGTGAGCTTTACTTTACTAAGGCTAAATAAACAAACTCAAGTGTCCAGAAAGGCTAGAGAAGGAGCTTATAAGAATGAAGCTATTGTGGTGTGATTCAATAGGGAATAGGTGGGGCCTTGGCAACATCAATTTGTAGTATCCCTGCCAATTGATACTACAACATCAATTTGTAGTATCCCTGCCAAAATTTAACTATGGAAAATAGTTAAATTTTAATATGCACACATCTGTGGTTGTGGTTATACAGATATATATATATATATATATATATATATATATAAAATAAAAATTTATATATAAATAAATACATAAACAAACTCAAGTGTCCAACAGGGCTAGATAAGGAGCTTACAAGAATGAAGCAGTTGTGATGTGATTCAATAGGGAATAGGTGGGGCCTTGGCAAACCAAAGAACATATTCTATCTAAAGTGGATGGCCACAACTTGCTCCAGCTGTGGAAACTTGGGCCATGTACTGCTAGATCTAAGGATTTTCTTTTGAGAGATGCTAGATATATACATTTTTTAAAAATAAAATTATCCTGATTTTAACAACATTGCCTTATTATATAAAACATACCTTGGAGGGTGTGGGTAAGACACAATGTCCTTGAAATTATATTTCACTGGGTTAATAAAATTGGCTCCGGAAGAAAATAATTTTAAACAGCAAACCAAAAAGTGAAGGCCTTCAAAACTAACAAACCAAAGGAAAACAAAACAAAATGACAACAAGAAAAAAACAAAGAAACAAAACCCCTGGACCTTACCATTTTTCTAAGGCATGTTGACATGATAAAATCAAAATTGCTTTGTGCTTATAAGGATCAAAGGTTATGCTTTTGACTTTATAAATTCAGAGAAAGAATTTAATTGGAATTATTTTTATGAATTAACTGAAGATCTAAGGCAACTGGATAATTTAGGTTCTGCTAGTATCTAGAATATTCAAAGTTTATGTTTAGTCTGACACTAAAGAATCCATTATTTCTCTTGACTTCCAGGCTGGTCAGTGTCTTTCCTGTGTCATATACCAAACAATGTGTTAGAAATTGTCTTCTCACTCATAAACTAATATTTGTTCAGAGTAAAAAGTCAAGCAAGTAAATAATGAGAAAAAATTCAGTGTATTGTATAAACAAAGACAGAAGGCAGACCAATGGTTACCTGGGGCCTAAGCTAAAGAGATTAATTGTACACAGTCACAAAGGAATTTTTTGGGATGGTGAAAGTGTTCTAAAACTGGATTGGGATGATTGTGGCACAACTGTATAAATGTTATTAAAACTCATTGAGTTGTACACTTAAATGAGTGGCTAAGTTGTGCCTTAATAAAGCTGTAATTTTGAAAAAGAATAATGGATGATCAACTGTGAGCTAGAGTATGATGAAAACACAAGACATTTACATAGCTTCAAAGTATCTCCCCATCAGGTACTTATTAACTGCATCAGGGAAACAGTAATTTTATTGTGGCAGAACCCTGCTGACAAAGTTAACATTCTAGTAAAAGCACAGGTGGATGTCATGTGCCTCCTGAAGTGATGCACAGAGAAGGATGCAACATCAACTTGTAGTATCCCTGCCAAAAATATATAACCTGAATTTAACCATGCTGAAACATAAGACAAATCCAAGTGAAGGAACATTCTACAAAACAACTGACCAGTACTCCTCAAGAGTGTCAAGGTCCTGGAAGACAAAGACTGAGCAATGCTTCTGATTAAAGTAGACTGAGAGGTGACAACTGAATGCAATGTGGGATTCTGGATTAGGTCTTGGCCCAGAAACAGGTCTTCGGTGGGACAACTGGCAAAATGTGAATAAGGTCTCTGGTTTTGTGAATGGTAGCGTATCGACACTCATTACCTGCTTTTGAACATGGTAGTGATAGTAAGATATCAACATTCAGGAAAGTACAGTGAAGGGTATATGGGAATCTCTACTATTTTTGTAACTTTTGTAAGTTGAAATTGTTTCAAAATGAGTTAGAAAATTAAAAGGAAGTTTTCTCTTTCAGCTGGGAAAACAGCAATGGATTAATAAGAAGAAATTAATGGTGAAGTGGTGACGAAAATTCTACATTGCTTAGAAAGCAAGTAAGAAAATCAGTGGTTGTAGAGAAGTTCTTACATGAAGTAATAAAAATAAAAATTGTTATGTTAAGCATTTTCTATTTTCTTTTCCTCCCCTCCAAATGAAACAGCATACTATTCTGCATGTTTTTCTACCTAACAATGTATCTTTTTAATGACTCTTGTATTTTAAACCTAAAATTTTGATTAAGCTTCACTTAATATTAAAAAAGATAGTATAGGTCACGATGTTATTTGATGCAAACGTTGGAAAGACAGAATCTTCTTGATCCAAGAGCTTTTAGAATTCAAAGTCTGATTCTGGTTATTACTCTGCTCATTTAAGATAGTGAAATGAACATTTACATTCTGGCAACCTCAGAAGTACAAAGAACAAAGGACACCAGCCAGGTAGGGCAAAGGCCTGTGCACCCCCTTTTGCTGTTACATGTTTATCAGATGCGTGCTCTGTTTCTGTTATATTACATTACTTTTCTCTTCAATGTTTACTGAGGAAGAACAAGTAGCTCCTCAGGCAAATCAACTGTTAACTTTGCTGTTTTTATTTAATCTCCCAGGAATGTAACCCTTAACTTTAAAGAATGTAGTGACCATAAAACTTATAAAGCATGTTTCTTAAGGAAATTGTACCTGTTTATTTAATCTATCAGATATGAATGTTATAGAAAATTTAATTTGTCCACTTAAGCTGTAGATGAACTTTTCACCTTTCTGATCAGAAATTCACCATCTTATAGTATAGGTTCTGTTATTAATCAGAATATTTCATTTAGACTCTTTCTATCCAACTTTTTCTTAGAGGCTATTCAAAATAAAGGTGCTTCTAACAGTTTCATATCGAAATACGATGCAAAGCCTTGCTCTTCCATGGTATCCTTTGAGTGAGCCAAACTTATTTAGCCATTCCCCTATAGTTAAATAGCTAGGATGTTTCCAACATCTCACCTTTAAAACAATAGTGCTATGAATGTCATAAATGTTTGTATATGTAAATATGTGGGATAAATCCCTATCAGTAGAATTTCAAAAGGTATACGCAATCAGTATTTTCATACATATTTAAAATTTTCCATCCATACAAAGGTTGCTAACATATTTATTTAAAATTTTAAAAATAATTTTATATGCCTCTTGTAACCAGTAATAGGATGCAAAGTTTTTTTTTAAGGTAACATTGCTCCTCTTCCCCCATTGTCTCTGTCATCTACAGTACTCCCTGAGGTAGTTCATGTTATTGCAAGGGTGTGTATCATCACAAACATATTGCTTCCACATACATATATCAGCATACATATATATATATATATGTATAGCATATATATATATGAGCACATATTAATATATGCCCATGCACATACAAGCATGTTTTTGTTAATTTTTACTGAAATGGAATCATACTACATACTTATGAACAAATTGCTTCTTTCACCTTATATCACTTATAATTGTTATTCTACAAATCAGTACATATAAAAAATACATATTTACATATGTAATACTCTATCTTTCTGTTATAATTTTCTGCATGCACATGTATGCATATACATATATTCATAAACATAAAACTTAATCTAAACGGGATTTTTTTTTGGGGGGGTGATATGGTTTGGCTGTGTCCCCACCCAAATCTCATCTTGAATTCCCATGTGTTGTGGGGGGACCCGGTGGGAGGTAATTGAATTATGGGGGCAGGTCTTTCCTGTGCTGTTCTCGGGATAGTGAAAAAGTCTCACAAGATCTGATGGTTTTAAAAAGGTGAGTTTCCCTGCATAATCTCTCTTCTCCTGTCTGGTTCCATGTGAGATGTGCCTTTTGCCTTCCGCCATGATTGTGAGGCCTCCCCAGCCATGTGGAACCGTAAGTCCAATAAACCTCTTTCTTTTGCAAATTGCCCAGTCTCAGGTATGTCTTTATCAGCAGCATAAAAATGAAACAATACAGTAAATTGGTACAAGTAGAGTGGGGCGCTGCTGAAAAGATACCTGAAAATGTGGAAGAAACTTTGGAACTGGGCAACAAGCAGAGGTTGGAACAGTTTTGAGGGCTCAGAAGACAGGAATATGTGGGAAAGTTTGGAGCTTCCTAGAGACCTGTTGAATGACTTTGCCCAAAATGCTGATAGTGATATGGACAATAAAGTCCAGGCTGAGGTGGTCTTAGATGGAAACAAGAAACTTGTTGGGAACTGGAGCAATGGTGACTCTTCTTATGTTTTAGTAAAGATACTAGGGGCATTTTGCCCCTGCCATAGATATATGTGAAACTTTTAACTTGAGAGAGATGATTTAGGGTACCTGGCAGAAGAAATTTCTAAGCAGCAAAGCATTCAAGAGGTGACTTGGCTGCTGTTAAAGGTATTCAGTTTTATAAGGGAAGCAGAGCACAAAAGTTTGGAAAATTTGCAGCTTGACAATGTGCTAGAAAAGAAAATCCCATTTTCTAAGGAGAAATTCAAGCTGGCTGCAGAAATTTGCATAAGTAACAAGGAGCTGAATGTTAATCCCCAAGACAATGGGGAAAGTGTCTCCAGGGCATGTCAGAGTTCTTCATGGCAACCCCTCCCATCACAGGCCCAGAGGTTTAGGAGGAAAAAGTGGTTTTGTGGGCTAGGCCCAGGGTCCCTCTGCTGTATGCAGTCTAGGGACTTCATACCCTGCATCCCAGCCATGAATGAAAGGAGCCAAAGTACAGCTCTGTCTGTTGCTTCAGAGGGTGCAAGCCCCAAGCCTTGGCAGCTTCCACATGGCTTTGAGCCTGCGGGTGCACAGAAGTCAAGAATTGAGGTTTGGGAAACTCTGCCTAGATATCAGAAGATGTAGAAGTTTGCTGTAGGGGTGGGTCCCTCATGGAGAACCTCTGCTAGGGCAGTGTGAAAGGGAAATGTGAGATTGGAGCCCCCAAACAGAGTCCCTACTGGGGCACCATCTAGTGGAGCAGTGAGAAGAGGGCCACTGTTCTTTAGACCCTGGAATGGTAGATCCATGGACGGCTTGCACTGTGCACCTAGAAAAGCCACAGACACTCAATGCCAGCCTGTGAAAGCAACCTGGAGAGAGGCTGTACCCTGCAAAACCTCAGGGGCAGAGCTGCCCAAGACCATAGGAACCAACCCCTTGCATCAGCATGACCTGGATGTGAGACATGGAGGCAAAGGAGATCATTTTGGAGCTTTAAGATTTGACTGTCCCACTGGATTTCAGACTTTCATGGGGCCTGTATCCCCTTTGTTTTGGCCAATTTCTCCCATTTGGGATGGCTGTATTTACCAATGCTGTACCCCCATTATATCTAGGAAGTAACTAACTCGCTTTTGATTTTACAGGCCCATAGGTGGAAGGGACTTGCCTTGTCTCAGATGAGACTTTGGACTTCGGACTGTGGACTTTTGAGTTAACACTGAAATGAATTAATGCTGAAATGAATTAAGACTTTGGGAGACGGTTGAGAAGCCATGACTCATTTTAAAATGTGAGAACATGAGATTTGGGAGGGGCTGGGGTGGAATGGTATGGTTTGGCTGTGTCCCCACCCAAATCTCATCTTGGATTCCCATGTATTGTGGGAGGGACCCGGTGGGAGGTAACTGAATCATGGGGGCAGGCCTTTCTCATGCTGTTTTTGTGATAGTGAACAAGTCTCATGAGATCTGATGGTTTTGAAAAGGGGAGTTTCCCTGCACAAGCTCTCTTCTCTTGTCTGCTTCCAGGTGAGACATGCCTTTCACCTTCTGCCATGATTGTGAGGCCTCTCCAGCCATGTGGAACTGTAAGTCCAATAAACCTCTTTCTTTTGCAAATTGCCCAGCAATGTGAAAACAGACTAATACAGTGGGAGATTACTTCTCCATACCCTCTTTGTCTGCCAACCATATCACCTCTGCTGTTTCCTCTCCCCAAAAGGTAACCCATGTTAACCTCTGATTATGATCAAATAATTATATGTATTTATTTATATAAATACCATTTCTTTATATATTTTGAACATATTAATGCATACACAAGTGTGCTAAAATTTATATTTCTACTGCTGTCACCATCTGTAGCTTGTATGATTTACAGAATTTCATGAACAAAAATACATGAAGTAAAAGGAACCATTATGATGTAAAAGCATATAGATTAATAATATTCTGCTTACTAACAGTTTCTTTTTTCTTTTTTTTTCCTTTGGAGATGGAGTTTCTCTGTTATTGCCCAGGCTGGAATGCAATGGCATGATCTTGGCTCACTGCAACCTCCATCTCCTAGGTTCAAGCGATTCTCCTGCCTCAGCCTCCCGAGTAGCTGGGATTACAGGAGTGTGCTATCACACTCGGCAGATTTTTGTATTATTAGTAGGGACACGGTTTCACCATGTCGGTCAGGCTGTTCTCAAACTCCTGACCTCAGGTGATCCACCTGTCTTGGTCTCCCAAAGTGCTGGGATTACAGATGTGAGCCACCGTACCCGGCCTACCAGTGGTATTACCCAGGGATATGAATAGCTAAGCTATACTTTAGGCACAAACCAGCACTATTATCAAGATGCAATATGTGAACTCATCTTTCTTCTAGCATCAGTTCAGAATTAATTTTAATCTGTGTATTGTATACTGCTGCCAAAAACTCATTAACCACAATTAAATTATGAAAGTACATGTGTAAATTTATGGATAGCAATACACAATCCAAAATATGAGTTTGCTATAAAAATAAAGCATATGGGTAGAATCATATTAATTATAAGTAACCAGAACTGTTAATAAGAAATTAATATTAAAATATATTGAATTTGATATTTCCATAACTGAAGTAAACTAATTTAATAAGCGAAGCTAACCAGTCTAAAATATCAAAGGAGAATAAGAATAAAGTTTATTATTAAACATACAAGCTATGGCTAATCAACATACTTTCTTATATTTCTTGATAATATGTTGAATTTACTTTCGAGCATGTTTTGAAGAGGTAGTTAGTCAATCTTTATGTCCCTTTTGAAGATATGATGAAATAGTTACATCTCTATTATGGAATAACATGAAGTGGTTTAAAAAATGAGTGATGTATGATCTGGCATGGTGGCTCACACCTGTAATCCCAGCACTTTGGGAGGCCGAGGCAGGTGGATTATCTGATGTCAGGAGTTCAAGACCAGCCTGGCCAATGTGGTGAAACCCCATCTGTACTAAAAATACAAAAATTAGCCAGGCGTTGTGGCGGGTGCCTGTAATCCCAGCTACTTGGGAGGCTGAGGCAAGAGAATTGCCTGAACCTTGGAGGCAGAGGTTGCAGTGAGCCAAGACTGCACCATTGTACTCCAGCCTGGACACCATGAGCAAAACTTTGTCTCAAAAAAAAAAAAAAATGATGAATGATGTATTTCTAATTCTAGTGAGAAGGAAAGAGTATCAGTGCATATTGTCAAGTGAAGAAAGCAAGCTCCAGAACAAAGCCTATGTATGTTCCTATTTATTAAAAACAAAAGCCACATATGTATACAAATGTACTCTATCTTTCTGTTATAATTTTATGAATGCACATGTATGCAAATACATATATTCATATACATAAGACTTAGTCTAAACAGGAATATTCTTTCAGGAGGGAATCTTGCTTCTCCTACAGAAAAATACCTAACATGGCAGGGGCAAAGGTAATATTGGACCAAAAAAATCTGGACCTACGTCTATTAAATTGCTCACAGTGTTTATATAATATCGGTGAAGGGAAGTAAAATTGAGGTTAGTGAAAGATACTCCACGTTTTACCCTAATACTTTTCTACTGTTTGAATTTTTTATAGTTATAATACATTCAGGTATAATACAAAATTTATATATAAATACTATATATATACACATACACACACATATATATATATGTGTGTGTATATATATTTTAATAAGAAACAAGGTCTTTCTCTCTCACCCAGGCTGGAGTGCAGTGCAGTGATCATAGCTCACTGTAACCTCAAACTCCTAGGCTTGCGTGATCCTCCCACCTCAGCCTCCTGAGTAGCTGGGACTACTGGTGCATGCCACCATGCCCAGCTAAGTTTTAAAATTTTTGTAGAAACAGGGTCTTGCTATGTTGCCCAGGTTGACCTTGAACTCCTGGCCTCAAGAGATCCTTTCCCCTCAGCCTCCCAAAGTGCTTGTATTACAGGCATGAGCCACTGTGCACAGCCTACTTATATTATTTAAAAAACAATTAATCAAATAAGTTGGTTAGGATTAGTTTCAGTGGCATAAACAGAAACTTAAACAATGTGAAAGCTTATTTCTGTCTCCTTCTGCCAGGTGAACACACATTGTTCATCCCCTCAGGAGGACACAGCTTTTGAGATACCATCTTGGAAGCAGAGACCAGCCCTCACTAGACACAAACTTCCTGGCACCTTGATTTTGGACTTCATAGCCTCTAGAACTGTGAGAAATAAATTTTTATTATTTATAAATTACCCTGTATTGGATATTTTGTTATAGCAGCACAAAAGGTCTAAGACAATGACTGAAGGACGGAGCTATAGGACTCAAAAGACCCTGGTCTTGAAGCCAGAAAGACCTGGCTTTGCCAGTAGCATGGTATTTCAATTAAGTATGATTAAACACTCTTCGAGGGAATAGAAAGGGGAAGGAAGAATGGAGATGGATCATTTGTTTCATGCCTTTTACTTACGTGTAAGGAATTATGAGCAGGTGCCTATGGATTTTGGAATATGCTTCTCTAACACTATAAAAATTAGAAAGTGAAACTTGTAGCCACAAATGTCCATTTAAAATTTCTAATGACAATGGAAGAAATTATTTAGACTCTCTCCTAAACTATTACACCATACATCATTGCAAAACATTTTTTTTCATTTTGCCCAACCTCCACTCCTGTCATTCCACCACTCCTATAGTATCTAAAATATAGTTTCTTTTAGAGAGATTGGTGCACCACTCAACTTGTCAGCTTGAGGGCTTTGAATGGTGTTTTCTTTTTTTTTTTTTAATTTCATGGCAAGCTGACTTACAAGTGACTCAACTGTAAGCTAAGACTTATTAATAGCATGGTTTAACCACCAAAGATAATGAATTCAAACAATGTTACTTACAGCCTTTAATGTCACAGCCCCTAAAAACATTGAAATGTACATTTTTCACCTGCTAGTCATCTTCAATATTCTGGAGAGGAAATATTCTTTCCTGTCCTTACAGTGGTTGTATATCTTAAAAGACGACTATATGACACTTGAATATTGATATTCAACCTTAACCAAAGCAGTCACAAGAATACAAGCCATTGACCTCTGGCCTTTTAGATATGTTCCCAACAAGTTCATGTGTACCCAATGAAAAATGTTAAATAAACTGATAAACTTTAAACATTTAAAAATATTTTATTTATTTACTTGCCACAGCTAGATAAGAGGAACTGGGTTAATTTTGAAACTCTCAGCTTCCTTTCCTCTAAACCAGTAGCTATTGCTGGCCACTAGTATGTTGTTTCCTTTGCAGGAAGTTGCAAAAATGAGAAAGAAAAAAACGAAAAACAAAACCAAGTTGGTATTATTTTTAGCTTTCTTCTTATTTGGATATAGCTACAGTTCTTTTTCTTATGGTGATTAACATAACTATTCAAGAGAGAAGAACCAAGCAAAGGGGAGTAGTAGGGAATTAGTAGGGAATTGTGCCAAAGGACATATGGCAAGGTTATTGTCAGAAAGCTGAGCTGCTGAAATCCAGACAGTTTAAGAGCTTATCTGCTCTGCTCTGCTCCCACCTAGGAGGACTCCTACTACAATGCAAAGACTCAAGTTTCACCTTAATTAGGTCTTTCCCAGGCCAGGTATTAGTGACCTTGGGAAAAAAGTTTAAGCTTCTCAGCTTCAGATCTTCCTCTGAATATTAGCACTGTGGTAATTGGCACAGTGGTACCTAACCCTTTGAGGGTCCAGGATTGTTTTAATGGTGAGTGATTTACAAACTGAGTTTAAAAGAGCAAGGAGGATCCAATTTCTCAAAATTTCATTAACTCTGCTTAAGAAAACAGTATATTATATTAGCTTAGATCAGGAGTTGGGAATCTATAGCCTGCTACCATTTATTGTGTAGCCTGCAAATGGTTTTTACATTTTTAATACATTGGAAAAAAAATTAAAGAAGATTATTATTTCGTGATGTGAAAATTATACATGTTGAAAGGAAAACTTTAGAGTTTAATTGAGTAAAGAATGATCTGTGAATTAGGCAGCCCCCAGAACCAGAGTAGGGTTGGTTACAGCTGAGCATTTGCCTTATTTGAACCTGGTTTGAAGAGTTGGCTGCCTGTGGTTGGCTGAAGTTCAGCTGCTGTGATTGGCTGAGACTCACTACTTGTTACAAGAGTAGGTTACATATCAAGTTTTACATATCAAGTTGAAATATAGTTTTTTATGTACTGGGAAACCTTTAGGGTAAACTTAAAATATGTAAGGAGGCAGCTTTAGGCCACAATGAATTTAACAATTCCTCCTTTTGGTCAACCTGTCAATTTTGAGAGGATGATTAATTTTGAGGTTGCCCAAAACTTTAGGCATTGACATCACTTTTTATCATCATAAATAGAGTTATTTGGTCTCTAATCCCATTGGAAAATAGCAGAACACTGGATTTTGTAAGGTGGGAACAAGGAAACAGTATAGAAAAAAAAACTGATTGGTTAACATCAGATTACTTTTTTATTTTTTTGTCACCCAGGATGGAGTGCAGTGGCACAATCTTGGCTCACTGCAACCTCACCTTTCGGGTTCAAGCAATTCTTCTGCCTCAACCTCCCAAGTAGCTGGGACTACAGGCGTGTGCCACCACACCCAGCTAATTTTTGTATTTTTAGTATAGATGGGGTTTTGCCACGTTGGCCAAGCTGATCTCAAGCTCCTGACCTCAGGTGATCCACCCGCCCTGGCTTTCCAAAGCGCTGGGATTACAGGCATGAGCCACTGTGTCTGGCTGAGATTGCTTTTTTGTAAGTAATCTGTTGTTACTTTGGGTTACTTTTCTGTAAGGGATAGAGCAGAGGGGACTTCCTTATTATACTGGAATCTTCTGTCTTCAGGAGAAGAAAAAAAAAACTCGTCTATTTTGGGACCTGTTTTTTAAAGTTTTAGTTTGATTTTGTGGTGCTTAGCATGAGCGACTCCATTTTGGTTTGGTCTGGTCTGCTTGGGATTAGTGCAGGAGCTCAGTCCAAAACAATGGCCTCTCATAATTTTGTTTAATACATGAAATTCAAATTTCAAACTTGTAGACATTTGCTCTCTCTCTTATTATATAAGTACCTACACAATGTCCTCAAATTTGCTTTTTGATCTGTAAAGACTAAGATATTTATCATCTAGTTTTACAGAAGAGTTTGCAGATCTTCTGGTTTAAAAGAGCAGGAGATTTAGTGTCAGGCAGGTTTGGATTGAGCCCAAGGGCTGCCATTTACTGATTGTATGACTTTGAGCAAGGTATTTATCTTTTCTAAGCCTCAATTTCCTCATCTATAAAATGGGCACACAAATAGTATTTACCTTGGAGAGTTAAATGGGATAATGCATTTAATGTGCTTAACACAGTGCCTATCAGATGCTTAGGGGCTCAAAACATTACTATTGTTGTTGTTGTTGTTGTTTTACCCTAAAGTAAATGAGACAAAATAGCAAAGCTAAATGAGGAGGAATTTTTAAGTTACATCAGAAACTGCAATAGATTCTAAAATATTATAATTAAGAAATTTCATACTTATTTAAAAAGGCATTTTCAATTTAACAATTTAACAATTTAACCCTCTTATAAGTTAAAAAAAAAAAAAAAGCCCGGCACAGTGGCTCACGCCTGTAATCCCAGCTCTTTAGGAGGCTGAGGTGGATGGATCAGGAGGTCAGGAGTTCAAGACCAGCCTGGCTAACGTGGTGAAACCTCGTCTCTACTAAAAATACAAAAATTAGCTGGGCGTGGTGGTGCATACCTGTAATCCCAGCTACTCAGGAAGCTGAGGCAGGAGAATCGCTTGAACCCGGAGACAGAGGTTGCAGTGAGCCAAGATCGTGCCACTGCACTCCAGCCTCGGCAACAGAGCAAGACTCCATCTCAAAAAGAAAAAAGAAATAAAAATAAAAAGTCAAGCCCAGCTATTTTGGGAGAACTGAAATTACAACTCTATCTGAGAAAATAAAATGACAGGACTCCACAGAATCCATAGATAAAAATTTAACTGAAGAGGAATATGGAACAGACTAAAGGAAAAATTTTATCAAGCTGTAATCTTTATACTTGTGCCTAAGGCCAGAACTTGAAACTGCTGAAGACAGTGTTTCTCTACAAATGCACACAGGCACCCCATTTTGATGCACAGATAGGTGTTTATTTCTTTTAAGAATAGCAGCTTTATTGAGATAAATTTCACATATGATACAATTCACCAATTTAAAGTGTACAAGTCAATGGTTTTCAGTATAATCAGAGTTGTACTACCATCACCATAATCAATTTTAGAACATTTTCATCACCGCCCAAAAACCACTGTAGTCTCTCCCCAGTCCTCTACTCCTGGGAACCATTAATGTACTTTCTGTCTCTATAGATTTGCCTATTTTGGTTATTTTATATAAATGGAATCATACAACATGTGGTCTTTTGTGAATAGCTTTTTTCACTTACCATAATGTTTTCAAGATTGATTCATTTTGTAGCAGGTATCAGTCCTTTTTCCTGTTTATTGCCAAATAATTTTCCATTGTACGGATAGATCATATTTTGTTTATCCATTTGTCACATTTTGGTTGTCTATCAGTTGATAGATATTTGTGGTGCATTTAATTTTTGGCCAATGTGTAAAACTTATTTTGCTCTCATTGAGGCTACATACTGTTACAACAATGCTATTTGGTCAACTTGACTGAGCTGGCCTCATAGGTTACAGGTTGTTCATTGTTAGAGATGAGACTTTAGACCAGACTGGACAACATAGTGAGACCCTGTCTCTACCAAAAAGAAAAAGAAAAATTAGCCAGATGTAATGGCATATGACTGGAGTCCCAGCTACTTGGGAGGCTGAGATGGGAGGATCACTTGAGCCCAGGAGTTTAGGACTGCAGTGAGCTGTGATCGTGCCAATGCAATCCATGCTGGGCGACAGAGTGAGACCCTGTCTCAAAAAACAGAAAGAGGGATTTTAGTATAACATTCAGCCAGTGCCATATTGGGAACCCACAAGAATGTACTTTTAAAAATATGTCAAAGAAGATGGTGAGGGCTGTAATAGCTGCTATTCAGGCAGTAATGCAGTGCTGAAGGGACATCAAGCAAATAGTGTGATGCCTGTGGGTGCAATGTTACTCCTTCCCTTAGGTTGCCAAAAAAATCAATACTTCATAGCATTCCTGAAACGAAAAAGCTTATGAACCATTGTGTTTAGGGCGTAAGCTATCTATTTTGGGCTACCCATCACAGCTTCTCTCCTTTGGCAGAATACAGTGAACTGAACCACCACGCCTAAGGTATTTGCCTTATTTCTTCCTCAGCTGGTTCATGGTTACATTGTCAAAGCTGGCAAAACATTCAAGACCTGATTTCTCAGACCGAGTGTATGTGTGAATATAATATACTCATTTGCACAAATATAAACCCTCTGTCTTAACTGTGTTCTGCAAAAGGCGTGATAAATACTTTAAAGTTATATGTACTTATCAGTAGAACTAATGGAATACACACAGTATATTTTATGGGGAATTTCAGAGAAGGAAGGAAAAGTCAACCTTTTATTTGGCATCAGGATAGTAGTAAAACATTCTACTTGTGCATCAGATAGATTTTTATGACCTAACCTGGACAAGTAACTTAACTCTTGGTGCCTCATGTTTGAAAGAGGGATAACACTCTACAGGGTCATTCTAAGAATTACATATTGCCAAAACACATGAAAAGATTCTCAACCTTGTTAGTAATCAAGGAAATGCAAATGAAGATCACAATGAAGTCTTCTTTTGTACTCAATTGATTGGTGAAAAATGCATGCCTGATAATATTGACATACAGACCAATGAGATCTCTTATAATTTGCTGGGAAAATGTATCAATTTGTACAAACATTTTGAAAAATAATTGTGCATTTTCTTGTGAAGTAAAACATTTGAATAATCTAGGACCCAGCAATTCAACTCTTACACAGACACTCAAGAGGAAGTTGCACACACATATGTCAGGAAAAATGTTCATAGCAGCCCTGTTCATAAGAGCAAAACCTGGAACAATTGAGAGGAAATGAATAAATTGCCGTGTAGCCACACAATAGAATACAAGACAGCAGTGATGCTGAAAAATATAGCAAGCCTCAGGAGTTTATATATTATATGGATAATTTTATGAAGCTCAAAAACACCCAAAATTAAACAACATATTCTCTAAGTACATACGTGGGATATGTGATAAAACTAAAAAGAAAACAGGGAATGATCAGCAATCCAGAACCAATTCATGACTGTTGTTACTATCTTATGGGGCAGGCTGTGGATTGGAAGCGGGGGCGGTGCACATAGGTACGTGTAGCTTACTGGTAATGCTTTTATGTTAGGAATGAGGTCAAAGGAGTTCACTATAAATTTATATTAGAAAGAAGGGCTATCTATGGATTAGTGATGAGAGTGTCATGCACCAGCAAATATGATTAATGAACTTAGGTTACCTGAGGTCCAAATAAATAATGAGAAAAAAGTAAATAAAAGTGATGCATGAATACTAAAAATTTGGAATTACATATATAATATGTAATAATAAAAAAAGAAAAAATTGTCACTGGTTATCCTTCAGGTATAAAAATTACAATTAAAATTGTAATGTTATAACCTTCCATTCTTTCCCCTATGAATTAAAACTTTTTTTTTTAACGAGACTAAAAAATCAAGTTGATAAAATCTATGCCCTGTGGGAACTGGTTAGGTCAGGCTACCCACTCCAGATTTCCAGCAGGCTGGCCTCAGCTCTACCTACAGCCAGTAGCTTATTAAGGCTCTAGGCGCCAGTGACACCTTCAGACAGGTGGTTAGTGCGCCCTAAGGACTCTCCGCAGCGTCGCTCAGGTTCACAGAACACGCCCAGGGGCGTGTCCAGCTGTCGTCGGGGAGAGCCCACCTCCCCGGGGGGTGTGGCTAAGGGACGAGGCAGTTCTCGTCCAGAGCCCAGGTAATCCGGGCGGGATCAGCTAGCGTCGCGATGTGATGACGTCAGGCCCCGGCCAGGCCGGGAGTGGCGTGCTGGGCGTGCGCGGCTGCGGTACGGCGTGTTGGTCCCAGCGGTTCAGCTGAGGTAGGGACGTGCTGTAGGCCGGAATGTTACCGGCTGTTGGATCTGTGGATGAGGAAGAGGATCCTGCGGAGGAGGATTGTCCTGAATTGGTTCCCATTGAGACGACGCAAAGCGAGGAGGAGGAAAAGTCTGGCCTCGGCGCCAAGATCCCAGTCACAATTATCACCGGGTATTTAGGTAACTAACCATCCCAGTCACAAAATGCCGTGAACTCTGGTGTCATGGGATTTTGCGGGCTGCCGGTGCCTCTTCTCCTGAGGCATTGGGGCCTCATGATCAAGAGCAAATGTCTTTGAGGTAGGGGCTGGGTCACTTGCTTCTCGTATGGGTTACCTCTCATCTTGGGAGTTAATGATGCCCGGTCCCCTCTGCGTTAGATTCCCATTTCTCAAGTGAGATGGAAAGTTAGCCTTTGAAACAAGGCTTTGAAGCTAAGACACGCCCCCCTAATTGTCTCTGTGACCTCTTACCAAGTTATCTTACCTTCCTGACGCTCATCTACCTCACCTGAAAATGGAAAAATACCTGTCACCTGTGAAATAGGGCCGGAACAACCTACCTATTGCCATTAAAGGATGTCCCGTCTGTAAAATGCCCGACACGTGGGGCTTTCGTCAGCAGATTCCCCTTCCCCAGGAGCCAAAGTCCTCCAGCCAGTTGGCAGGAAGTGCTCCTATCTTAAACACTTTTCTTTTGAGGTCTGTTTGTAAACCACTGCGTAGGAAGTAAGAATAAAATCTCTGTCCTCCAAGACTATTTCTCAAACTAAGAACGTTTAGAGTGTACAGGGATACTCGAAACCACAAGTTTGTGAACTTGGTAGTTTCGTGAAGGGCGGTTTATGCACTTACACTAGAAGTTTCTTACTGGAAAAGTTTGAGAAATATATTTTTAAACCTTACAGTTAAATAGAAGGGCTAGAACAAATATATGACTGTATTAGAAGTTTGGAAAAAGTTAAGAAATGTAAATAAAATAATACTGTTTCCGGGAAATAATATTCCTAGTTGTTGCTAGAGACAGGTACAGACTTGGGCCACTTCGTGACCTTTTATGTAAAAATAAGAAATAACTGCTTTTGTTTTTTTAAAAACTTTGTAGACTGTAAGTTTATTCCCGTTTTTTGCTCGGAAGTAATTTTATAAAGGAATTTATTTTTGGCGTTTCCCCACAGTTATTCAGAGGCTGCTCTACTGAGAAGATGAACAAATTTCTTGTCCAAAACAATGTATTTCAAACGTGCCCCTCGGGCCTTTCCCGTGTTGCTCACTGGTAGGTCAGTAGATCATTGGAGAAAATGATCTGAAGCTCAGGAGTGAGAATTAATACCAGCAACCTTGTTGCTGAATCTAGGGATAGTTTCACTCCTATCCCTGACCATTTTCCCTTTTTGAAACACTGTTCCTTTGGCTTCTATTACATTTTTCTTCTGATTTTTCCACCTGCTTCTCTGGCTTCTTTTTAAGGCTCCCTCCTCCTTCCCCCTTTGTCCATCTTTAGCTACACACCTGTGTAATTTCTATTTTGATGTCCTACAACTTAAAACTTAACATGTCTGAAACTTCGTCTGTTACCATCCCCCCAAATCCTGCTTCTGTGATCCCAACCATTTGGAATACTCTAAAAGCCTCCTGACTAATCTGGAGTCTTGCTGCCCTTTAATTTATTAGTTGCATGTTAGCCTTAATGATCTTTATAAATGTCAATCTGACTGCGTCACACCTTTCAGTGGCGTCCCTATGGGTTAAAATTCAAATTCCTTAACATGAATTACAAGGACCTGTAGGATCTGGATCTTGCCAACCTTTCCAGCCTGCCAAATTGGCCCCGCACAATAAACTAAGGTTACTTCAAAGGTGCCAAGTGTTTTAGCCCCTTGGAATAGGTACTTTTTTACTGTGACTCCTCTGGCTAGATGTCCCTCTTAGGTTCTCCATAGCATTTTGTGCATCTCCTATTGAATATGTCACCCTGTGACATAATTGCCTCCTTATTCACTGAATTCCCCTCCATTCCCCCCTTCCCTTAATATTTCTAAGCTCTATGAAGGCAGAGACTATCTTGTTCACTTTTTCACCAAGGCCCAGCATAAATCTGTAACGTATTAGAAACCTTTGAATGAATGAACTATGTCTTAAAGTGTTTTTTTTTTCATAATATGGTTAAAAAGCCCTAGTAAATCTTCTCTTAGAAGATTTCTTACATTCACCCTTTCCTTTCAGTTTTCACATCACTGCCCTGCGAAACACTCATGTTCAGGGCCTCTGTCTCAGGCTTGGACTGGTTTTAAGATCTTCCTCATTGCCCTAAGTCTCTCTCTTCCATACTATACTTCATATTTTTGTGATGTTGAGCTTCCTAAAGTACTCTAAATATAAGCCTTCATCTCTTAAAAAGCTTTGAAAGGAATATGACCTAAAAGATATTAATACCCTAATACTCCGTAAAATCTTCCTAGTTGTAGGAAGATCTAGTTATATACTAGAAAACTTTATTTCAGAAGACATGTATAGCCTACATGTAAAAGTTTTTAGCAGCACTGTAATAGTAAAACACTGGAAACAAACCAAATGTCCAACAAAAAAAAGATAAAGAAATGATATAGTCATACAATTGAACTACAATACTATGCAGTTAGGATTTTCTTTTTTTCCTCTATGAATTTTAGTGTGTACGGTTCACAAGACTTTTTTTTCTACTGGAGATTGACATATTGGGTTTCATATGCCACCTGCTGGATAAAGTTGGTATAGCTTTATGAATTTATCTTAACTGAACATTCTGTTCATTGTTGACACTACCTGGCTCTATTCCCCATTTCATAAAAACTTTTATAGATTGTTTAAAGCATACTATAAGTAGCCATATAGTCAGCCTGAAGTTGCGTCTCGTTAATGTTGAAATAAAAGGTCACTATAAATAAAAGATTGTGTGTCAATTTTAGGGAAGGTTAGGCTAGGTTGAAGAAACTGTTTCAACTTGTAGGAGTGTTTGTAAATATTTATAAAATTTTATGTCTACATAAAGTATTTTGCAACAGGTTTCAAAGGATGCTTTAATCTTATCCTCTAGGATATTCTATACTAAAATAATATATGAAAAATAGCATGCAAATTCTCAAAAATGTTAGGATTCTTTATATGTTTTTTGTATCTTTAAAATTATTTTGAATTTTTTTATTTACAAAAAATATGTTTTATAGGTGCTGGGAAGACAACACTTCTGAACTATATTTTGACAGAGCAACATAGTAAAAGAGTAGCGGTCATTTTAAATGAATCTGGGGAAGGTAAGTAAAGTTCAATAAATGTCATGTTGCAAGATTTTGTGTGACTGTTTATTCCTCTGGTGAATTGATATTCCATATTTAAAAATGAAAATGCAAGGTATTGTATTGATGTGGATAGCTTTAGAAAAATTAGATTAATTTCTGTTAAGATTTATATGGGTTGAGATACTGAAATTAGTTTTAATAAAATTTTATTTTGTATAACTTTGGAATTCTTATTAACAGAATTAAACTACATTTTTACATGAAATAAATGACTCCAGAAGTAAAAATCTAGACATATGAAAAAACGTTTATTTTTTATTTTATTTTATTTTTTTTGAGATGGAGTCTCTCTCTGTTGCCAGGCTGGAGTGCAGTGGTGCAATCTCAGCTCACTGCCACCTCTGTCTCCCGGGTTAAAGTGATTCTCCTGCCTCAGCCTCCCGAGTAGCTGGGACTACAGGCATGCGCCACCATGCCCAGATAATTTTTGTATTTTTAGTAGAGACAGGGTTTCACCGTGTTGGCCAGGATGGTCTTGAGCTCCTGGCCTTATGATCCACCCGCCTCGGCCTCCCAAAGTTGCTGGGATTACAGGCGTGAGGCACCATGCCTGGCCAAAAAATGTCTTTTTTAGGAATTAGAAAGGCAGTTTTGTATGGACTCTATTGCAACTCATGAAAAATATTTGAAAATGCTTCTGTTATTAGTTAACTTTGTTTAATGTTTATTATCTGCAATGCAGTTAAAACTCAATATTTTAAAAAGAAAGTAAACATATGGTCTTTATCCTCATGTATTTTATCTGTGAAAATAAGTGTGCTTAACTTCTCAACTCAAATATTAAACTGTAGTAAAAAAAAAAATAGCTCTAGACACAGTACTTCTGTTATCTTTATAGGAGTTTTTCTTCATAAGTATGAATTGTAATCAAAGCTCACTTCTAGCCAAAAAACAATATCTATTAGACGATTTCTTTTAAAATGTACTATTTTTTTCAGTTGTAAAAAGTAAAAGAGCTAGGTTTTATGAACAGGATGGGAAGCCAGTTATATTCCAGTTATATTCGATTTCTGATTTTAATAAACTAAAGAGAAAAGTGCTTTTTAGGCAAAAATCCTGAGATTTCTAATAACAGACTGTTTTTTTCATCATCTTATTAAATAACCTATTGCACACTGATTACATTTATTCTTACTATTTTCTTTATTTTTTCCTGGATCATTTTCACAATTTTATTTTTCACAGCATTCTCAATACTTTTCTTCATGTTTCATTAATGTTCTGTATATAGTCCGAATTCTGTAGCAACCTCTTTAGAAGCTCTTTATTAATACCTAGCTGAAATATAAAAAATATGTAAGTGTAAAACTACTCGATTTTATGGGAGCTCATTTGCTTAGTGGACTTTTAGAACTTCACCGTTTGGTATATTTCTTTATTAGGGGAAAAGTAAAACATTTAAAATAATTCTTATAGATAACAAGCATTTCAAATATAGTTTATTCTTTCTTAAGTAAGTATTGCTAGGAAAATATGTGAATTTGACTAAAAGTTTAGGTTTTTTTTTTTTGAGATGGAGTCTCGCTGTGTTGCCCAGGCTGGAGTGCAGTGGCACAGTCTCGGGTCACTGCAACCTCCGCCTCCCGGGTTCACGCCATTCTCCTGCCTCAGCCGCCTGAGTAGCTGGGACTACAGGCGCCCGCTACCACACCTGGCTAATTTTTTGTAATTTTAGTAGAGATGAGGTTTCATTGTGTTAGCGAGGGTGGTCTCGATCTCCTGACCTCGTTATCCGCCCGCCTTGGCCTCCCTATAAATTTAATTTTTAAATGAGCACATGGTACACTGGCCAAAAACCTTCCTCAGGATGAACTAGGGTTTTTACTCATTGGGAATATTCAGCAGTTTGTCTAACAGAAACAATTTAGAAGAAGAATGAAAAGAAAAAGATAGATAAGGCAGTCTCTTAAGAGGTTGAAGGGCATACAGAATCCAGTATATAAAACATACTAGTCGATTTAGAAAGTTTACCCTGGACAAGAAAAAAATGCCTTCATTAAGAAATGGGGGTGGCCAAGTAAGAGGCCTAAGGAGGAAGTAGGTATGTTTATCAGTTTAGGATGTGTCTTTTTCAGGGCTTAAGACATCTTAAATAAAAGCTAAAATAATGTAGTGTACTGTAATTTAGGTATCAAGGCTGCATGAATAAAGTGAAAGAATATAAGTTATAAAATATAAGTTTCTGCTTTAAGATCTCCATTATTGAGTTATCCTCATCTTTGTTTTTTGTTGGCTAATGGACATAAGCTAAAGAGTTTGTTTATTTATTGTTTGTTATTTATTCTAGGAAGTGCGCTGGAGAAATCCTTAGCTGTCAGCCAAGGTGGAGAGCTCTATGAAGAGTGGCTGGAACTTAGAAACGGTTGCCTCTGCTGTTCAGTGAAGTGAGGAATGTGTTTACTGTGTACATGGTTTACTAGAAATGTTTATTGATTATATTTCCAGCTTTAATTTTCTTGAGTAATTTAACTGAATTTACACAGTTTGCTTCATTGTATTTTCAAACAAATAGAAAATAAACTTATTAGGAAGCATTTTCTTAAAGTGTTTCTTGCTGTCTTTTCTATCTGCTCTAATGTTTTGGTCCTTTTATTGAGTTTTTATTGCTTTTGATGTCAGGGCTTATTTAATCTCTAGTGCATGAAAGTCTCATATGTAAAAAATGATTATTCTGAATTTAATCTGTCATTGGTCATACTTCTAAGTGTTCAACCTTATAAAAAAAAAAATGACTATCAAAAAAGAAAAACCTTACATTATGTTCTAGTAGTTAAGTTTCCAAGGACAGTGATCACTAGTCTACCATAGACCCTAGAAGAGTTACCCAACACATAGTAGCACTCAAATATTTGTTGAATGAATTATAAAAATGACTACTTGTATTGTTAATTTTGTGTATTCTAGTGAATTAAATCTCTTCGGCATCATTTACTCCCTTAGGTATTTGACTTTGTGTCAAATGTTTTGGCAAGGATAAAATTATAACAGACTTTCTTGAACAACCAAAATGTAATCTATTAAGGATTTTCCTTCACTTTTGATAAAATAAGAAAAAAGGAATTTAAAACCTTGCATCCTAATGTAAAATAGAATTATATGGTGTTTAATATCAGTGTCCCTTTAGCTATTATATTAAACTACTATAGTTAATAAATTTTATCATTATTTTGTATGTTGGTTTTTAAAAATTTCATAAAGCTATAAAAAGATACTTGGTCAGATAAAGTTTCCTCTGCTTTTAATTTTAATAAAGTATTATTATGTATATGATTTCTTTTTACCTATTATATATATGCATCTATTGTTTTCTCACTGGTAAATATGGGACAGACATTTTGTTAGAAGGTTAGAAGTGAGTTAAATTTTCACATTCCTAAGGATACTTTTGTCTCGGGTTGTTGAATACATTTTAAAGTGTTTATAATAATCACTTCAAAATATTTAGGTAATTAACTGTAAATTATGTTTTGGTATTCTCCAGGGACAATGGCCTTAGAGCTATTGAGAATTTGATGCAAAAGAAGGGGAAATTTGATGACATACTGTTAGAGACCACTGGATTAGCAGACCCTGGTAAGAAGTGAGATTATTAATAACCAGAATATAGTTCTGTGATATATTGTAAATAGATGTATTAGAGGAATATCTAAAATGAGTATTAAAGCTTTTGTTAGTATTAAACCAAAAACTTTTTTTGGTTTAAAAGAGGAAAAGTACTTGGTTGTCATTTTCTTTGGCAGTTGAATGAATGATCAGAGTATTTCTTGGTGCTTTTAAGCTGTTAATAGAATTTGAAGTTTTATTGATTGACTTAGGATTATTTGTAAGAACAGAAGTTGTTAAAAATAAGGACATGTAGGAAGAGCAGAGACGTTCTACCTCTAAGTACAGTTGTCCCTTGGCATCCATGGCGTATTAGTTCCAGAACCTCTGAGGATACCAAAATCTATTAATGTTCAAGTC
The DNA here is from genome assembly GCF_000001405.40 of Homo sapiens. Classification (NCBI taxonomy): domain Eukaryota; kingdom Metazoa; phylum Chordata; class Mammalia; order Primates; family Hominidae; genus Homo; species Homo sapiens. The sequence continues at coordinate 41,181,984 of NC_000009.12, read as the reverse complement.
CCTTACATAAAATGGTGTAGTATTTGCCTATAACCTATGCACATCCTCCCATATACTTTAAATCATCTGTAGATTACTTATAATACCTAATACAATGTAAGTGCTGTGTAAGTAGTTATTATACTGCATTGATAAGGTAATCATGACAAGAAACTCTAAACTCTACTATGGAAAGCTACACAGAGTCAACCTGTTTCTCACAATGGGTTTCTGTTACCTTCTTACCAAGCTCTAATTCTTGATAAAGTCTGCTTATTTTCCCCAAATAACTTTTAGATAAAATCTTTATTTTCAGTTTGCATAAAAGTTAGTGCTTATTCTGTGAATCTGACCCATACCATTATTTTCTTTTTGATCTGGGTCTCTGGCATTGGGGCGATTTGTAAAACTATATTAAAGTATTTGGGGGTAATTTACTAAACAGGTCATAGTTGTCCAAAAGAAATATTGAAGTATCCTGAGAGTTCAAATGTGATCAGTGGTTATTGTACTTAAAACAATTACGTAGTAACATCATCCCCATGTTTTCAAAGTAGTATTGAATTAGGCTATTTTGGTCCTTATAGTAGGCATGGGTTTTCATACCTTTCTGATAAATCTGACTGATGATAGGACTTGGACTAATATGTTGGCGTTAAATATTATTTGAATCTGGTAAGAAAGAATATATTGTATGCTTTTATTAGAAATAGCAAATATCAGTTTATTTCATCATAGCCAGTTTTGCCATTTTATAGACAAAAACTTGATACTTTTGAGAGTTTAATTAAACACGATTCAGCTTTTCAGAGGAAGAAAGAAAAACTAAAGATCACAGAGAAAGCTTTTATACAAATTGTAGTTATAAAAAATGTTAATGTTTCTTGCTTCTAACTTTCTTTACAATAAAGATTTTATTGTTTGGGTAAAGATGGAACATTCATTGTAAAAAAATTTAAATACCTAAAAAATACAAAGAAGAAAGTTGAAAAGTAATCATCTCACTATTGTGATATACAAGTAAGGGCTGGGCATGGTGGCTCATGCCTGTAATCCCAGCACTTTGGGAGGCTGAGGCAGGTGGATCCCTTGAGGCCAGGAGTTCAAGACCAGCCTAGCCAACATGGTGAAATCCAGTCTCTACTGAAAATTCAAAAACTAGCCAGGCGTTGTGGCGCACCCCATAATCCCAGCTACTCAGGAGGCTAAGGCATGAGAATCGCTTGAAAGCTGGGAGGCGGAGGTTATGGTGAGCCGAGATCACGCCACTGCACTCCAGCCCAGGCAACAGAGCAAGACTGTATACACACACACGCACATGCACACGCACACACACACACACACATTCATACACACACACACAAGTAGGTAAATTTTATTCCAGGGATCTCTCTATGCCAGTGCTACTTGGTAGTATGTTGAATGGCAGCCTCAGCCTCAGCTGGGAGCTTGTTAGAAATGCAAATTCTTGACCAACCCAGATCTACTGAATCGGAATCTCTAAGGGAGGGGGTCAAGCAAGCTGTTTTTAATAAGCCCTTCAGGTGATTCTTATACTGTACAGCCATACCGCAGGGATATTGTGGGCTTAGTTCCATATCACTGCAGTAAACTGAATATCACAATAGAGTGAGTCACACACATTTTTTTGTTTCCCATTGCATATAAAAGTTATGCGTTTTGGCCGGGTGTGATGTGACAGGCCTGTAGTCCCAGCTACTTGGATCACTTGAGCTCAGGAGTTTGAGGCTGCAGTGAGTCATGATTGCACCACTGCACTCCAGCCTGGATGACAGCATGAGACCCCATTTCTTAAAAAAAAAAAAAAAAAAAAAAAGCTGTGTTTATACTATACTGTAGTCTATAAAATGTGTAATAGAATTGTCTAAAAAACATACATACCTTAATTAAAAATATTTATTGCTAAAAAATGCTAACGATCATCTCAGCTTTCAGCAAGTCATAATCTTTTTGCTGGTAGAGGGTCTTGCCACAATGTTGATGGGTGCTGACCAATCAGGGTAGTAGTTACTGAAGGTTGGGGTGGCTATCGCAATTTCATAAGATAATAATGAAGTTTGCTGCATTAGTTGACTCTCCCTTTCATAAAATATGTCTCTATAGCACATGATGCTATTTGATAGCATTTTACCCACAGTATGACTTCTTTCAAAATTGGAGTCAGTCCTCTCAAACCCTGCTTTATCAATTAAGCTTCTGTCATATTTTAAATCCTTTGTTGTCATTTTGACAGTGTTCATAGCATCTTCACCAGGAGTAGATTCCATCTCAAGAAACCACGTTCTTTTCCCGTCCATAAGAAACAACTTCTCATTAGTTAAAGTTTTCTTATGAGATTGCAGGAATTGAGTCACATCTTCAGACTCCCCTTCTAATTCTAGTTCTCTTACTGTTTCCACCATATCTGCAGTTATTTCCTCCGTTGAAGTCTGAAATCCCTCAAAGTCATCTGTGAGGGCTGGAATCATCTTTCAAACTCCTATTCATGTTGATACTTTGATCTCCCATGAATCACGAATGTTCTTAATGGCATCTAGAATGATGAATCCTTTCCAGAAGGTTTTCAATTTACTTTGCCTAGATCCATCAGAGGAATCACTATCTATGGTAGCTATAGCCTTATGAAATATATTTCTTAAATAAGACTTAAAAGTCAAAGTTACTCCTTGATCAGTGGGCTGCAGAATGGATGTTGTGTTAGCAGGCATGAAAACAACATTAATCTCCTTGTACATCTCCATCACAGCTCTTGGGTGATCAGGTGTGTTGTCAATGAGCAATAATATTTTGAAGGAATCTTTTTTTTTCTAAGCAGTAGATCTCAATGGTGGGCTTAAAATAAACCATGCTGTAAACAGATGTGCTGTCATCTAGGCTTTATTATTTATAGAAAACAGGCAGAGGAGATTTAGCATAATTCTTAATGGCCCTAGAATTTTCAGGATGGTAAATGATTATTGGCTTCAACTTGAAGTCACCAGCTGCTTTAGCCTCTAACAAGAGAGTCAGCCTGTCCTTTGAATCTTTGAAGCCAGGCATTGACTTCTCTATAGCTATGAAAGTCCTAAATGGCATCTTCCAAAAGGAGGCCATTTCATCTCCATTAAAAATCTGTTGCTGGCCGGGCTCGGTGGCTCATGCCTGTAATCTCAGCACTTTGGGAGGCCGAGATGGGCAGATCACGAGTTCAGGAGTTTAAGACCAGCCTGGCCAACATAGTGAAACCCCATCTCGACTAAAAATACCAAAAATTAGCCTGGCTTGGTGGTGGGAGCCTGTAATCCCAGTTACTTGGGAGGCTGAGGCAGGAGAATGGCTTGAACCCGGGAGGCGGAGGTGGCAGTGAGCTGAGATTGCACATTGCACTCCAGCCTGGGTGACAGAGCGAGACTCCATCTCAAAATAAATAAATAAATAAATAAAAAATAAGTCTGTTGCTTAGTGTAGCTACTTTCATGAATGATGTTAGCTACATCTTCTAGGTAGTTTACTACAGCTTCTATATCAGCATTTGCTGCTTTCCCTTGCACTTTTATGTTATGGAGATGGCTTCTTTCTTTAAATCTTGTGAACCAACCTCTGCTACCTTCCAACTTTTCTTCTCTAGCTTCCTCACCTCTCTCAGCCTTCATAGAACTGAAGAGAGTTAGGGTTGCTCTGAATTAGGCTTTGGCTTAAGGGAACATTGTGGCTTGTTTGATCATCTATCCAGACCACTTCATATCAGCAATAAGGCTGTTTTATTATCATTTGTGTGTTTACTGGAGTAGCACTTTTAATTTCCTTCAAGAACTTTTCCTTTGCATTCACAACTTAGCTAACTGGCTCAAGAGACCTAGCTTTTGGCGTATCTTGGCTTTCAACATAACTTCCTCACTAAGCATAATCATTTCTAGCTCTTGATTTAAAGTGAGAAACAGGTGACTGTTCCTTTCACTTGAACACTTAGAGGCCATTGTAGGATATTAATTGGCCTAGTTTCGTGTTGATCATATTCTTTATGTTGTCATGGTTCTGTCATAATTCTTTTAGTTCTATGTTTTAATAGTTTTGGTGCTCATTACCAGTACTGTTGCTTCTCCATTCCCGAGTTAGTCCATCTCCTGATTGAATTTCATTGTCAGGCAGTCTTTTCAAGTTACAGGTACTGCATGCATTCTTTGGGTTCTTATACACTTCATTGATTCAAAATATTTGTCTTTTGTTTTTATATTACTTGAAGGATTACTTGGCTAGGTATAAAATTTATCAGTCACACTTTTTTCCCCCTCAACTTTGTAAATGTTGTTCCATAATCTCCTAGTGTTTGATTGGCTGGATTTCTTTGTCCAATGTTTTCTCCTTTTATTAGGAAGAATTTGTGAGTATTATAGTCTCTGAGTTTCAATGCTTGCTGTTTTCTTTAATGCTTGAGAATGTCTGTCTATTGCTTTCGTTCCTGAAAAATAACTTGTTTGGGAACACTTTCATTAGAACTTTGTGGTCACTGTTTTATTATTTTGGGACATCTAGTGTTACTGTAGAAAAGTCTGATTTTTCTCCCTCCCTCCTTGAAGGCACTTTTTTTTTTTTAATCTAAAATGCCTGAGAGTTTTCTTCTTTATTTTTGAAATTCAGTAATATAAACAAGGTATATCTAAGTGTCACTTATAATCATTTTTCCCTAAATTATAATATGCCCTTAGTTCTTCTAAGAACATTTTCCTTGTTTATTACCATGAATACTTTTTTTTGGTCAAATTATTAGATCCTCTACTTCATGACACCAGTTTTTTTAATACTGAATTTTCTTTTGTTCTTCGTATGTATTCTAATTGCTTTGATTTGTCTTTTACCTTTGCATTTACTGTGATCATCTGAAGCCTTTCTTTTTGTCAATAATTCTGTTTTCTCCAGTATCTGTCCTGTTTTTGATATTTTAAATGAATTAATTGGTTAAGTCATTGTGTTATATAGGCTCTAAGTTTCTTTAGCACTACAAACTGCATTTTCATCTTATTCTGCTTCTTGCTTTTGAGCTTGTTTATTATAAGGTTGTATTGTTTTCAAGTTCTTCATTATGATGAAGTTGTTGAGAATTTTCTTTAGTTTTTATTGGGTTATGTATCCTTCCAGAATGGGTTCTTTGCCACTTGTATGCCCTATTCATTTCTTCATTTTGTGTTCTTTCTTGCTTTTTATTCCCTGTATGTGTGTATTTCTTTTTGTCAGGCTGTAATACATATGCATACATGTTTCTTCTTGATATGGGAGAACTTCTATGTGGTGCTGATGGGAAATATTTTTAATACTCCACTCTCCTTACCCAAGTTTGTTTTTCTCCTGAGCCCTAGTTTGAAAGCTGTATATTGTTGGAGTGGAGGGAAGGAGAAGGGAAAAGTGGTGATTCAGAGAGCCAAATGGGGCAATGTGGCTTTTAGGCTCTGCTCTCTTGAAGTACCAAGTATTTCACTCTTGGGTCTGCCCAACTGCTTATGAATAAAATTCCTTTGCCTTGTATGGGGACATCATTCGACCTCAGACCTCTCATTTCTCTTTGTTCTGAGCCCTAGAATGTGACCTGACCTTCTCCTTCCCAAAGCATGGAGATGGTTAAAACTCACTCTTGAAATTTTTTTGTTGACTTTTCCCTCTGTTGCTTATTCATTCCTCGGCTCTACTTTTTGCCATTTTGGAGTGTATTTCTGGTAAGTGTTTAGGATTTTGTAAACTATTTCCCTACAACCTCTTACTGGAGGTAGGGGTAGAGTTGGGAATGACCATCAATCACATATAACTTTGTTTCTTATTTTGACTATCAGTCTTCAAAATTTATGGCAGGCCCTTTTATATTTGGTTGCTGCTAATAAAATGTTGGCCTTTTTGTTTTATTTTTTATTTTTATTTTTTGTTTTATTAGATTTTGAAGAAGGGAGATTCTAAAATGTAGTTCAGGTTTTCTCAGTGTCAGCACAAATAACATTTTGGGTTGGATAATTATTTGTTGTGAGGGGGTTGCCCTGTGCAGAGTAGGATATTTAACAACATCCCTGGCTTCTACCCACTAGATGCCAGTAGCATTCCCCTAGTTAAGAGAACCAAAAACATCTTCAGACATTGCCAAATATTCCCTGGGGAGAAAAGCACCCTGGTTTGAGAGCCACTAATCAATTTTGTTCATTCATCTTTACTCCTCCTAAATACCTACATCCAAATTTTAAATAGATCTTTCTCATGTAGTCTGGCAAGTATTATATCAAAGATAAATACCAGTTTTAGAATAAAGCATTAATATACTCTTACATTTCAACTTAAGAGGCAAATATTAACAGTAGGATTTGTAAACTATTTATTAGACTAAAAATCAATGAATTTTTAAAAATTACAAAATGATTTATGTATGTTAGATATTTTACTGAGTGAAAAAATTCATGCTTTTTTAAATGACTTATTGTTTGGAGTAGTGATACAGTAGATTTAATTTTCCCCCTCATTAATTAAAATCATGTTTTAGCCAAGAAAGTGAACAGAATTCTTATTGGCAATTCAGTTGTTTCCCGTTTTGGAGACTGACACTCTCCAGTTCTAAGTTAAATAATTGTCATGGTAAAGTAATTTCCTTGAAAAGAACGGACATTGATTCAGCCCCTGTTACTCACAAATCCTATTTGAGTCAAATTGGAAAACTATTACGTTTTTGGGAAAAAAATCAATAGGTATCAGGAAACCATTAGATCTTGTGGCCCTTGCTATATCTTGCATGAGTAATCACTGTAAACAGCTGACCGTTATTTCATTGTTGACACAGAGTGATGCTTGGGGGACCACATCTTGTCAGAGCAGGTGGACAGCTTTAGACTTTGGAATGAGTTTGATTATCCTTGTTTTTCTCCTACACTTATTCTTTTAGACAGCCCTGTCACTAACTGGGCCTGTGATGCTTTCAAAAATCAAATACTTTCCTTGCTGTCAGTTTTCTTTTTCTTGCGTTGTGGCATACTAATCAGGGTACGTGGTTTGGTACTGAACCAATTTCTGTCAAAAGCAAGTTTTAATTTATTATTTAGGAAAAATTTTTCCTAAGACCCAGGTTTTATACAGTCCTAAATAATTAGTGTGAGGAATAATTAGTAATGCCATAGAGTATATAATTTTACTTCTAGTTCTACACAGATTACAAGTAAATTTTTTTTGGGCAAGTGATTTTGGAATTATCTATGTTTTGTTTTCCTTTTCCTTTAGAGTGATAATTCACTATTTATGATTGAATGATTATCATATTAAAGAGGTGAGAAAATAAAAATAAGTCTGATGTGCACAAAGCCATACTGCTCAAATTGTTTGATAATATCTGTTAATTAAATTATTATGGCATCGGTAGAAGAATGATGTTTTGTTTATATGTGGTTAGAATTGGTCTTTTTTAAAGGAAATAACAAGAGAGATGGAAATGGAATGGGTATAAATAGTAAAAGGTTCTATCACTATAATTCCCTTTTGCTATAAATAGTTAAAGCTTCTATCACTATAATTTCCATAAGAAGATATATGTGTTTACCTGTTAATTTTATCAGGGCAAATTAAAACATGGATAGAATCATGTTTCTCAATGTGAAGAAATATTTTTATTTGATGAATATTATATATTTTCACGTGCAGTGGCTTCTATGTTTTGGGTTGATGCCGAATTAGGGAGTGATATTTACCTTGATGGTAAGTTAAAAAACAGTTTTCTTTTATCTTTCTTGTTTTTTTTTTTTTTTTTTTTTTTTTCTGAGACAGAGTCTCACTTTGTTGCCCAGACTGGAGTGCATGGAGTGCAGTGGCATGATCTCGGCTCACTGCAACCTTTACCTCCTGGGTTCAAGTGATTCTCCTGCCTCAGCCTCCCGAGTAGCTGGGACTACAGGCGTGCACCATCGTACCTGGCTAATTTTTGGATTTTTAGTAGAGACGGGGTTTTGCCATGTTGGCCTGACTGGTCTTGAACCCCTGACTTCAGGTGATCCGCCAGCCTTGGCCTCCCAAAGTGCTGGGATTACAGGCGTGAGCCACCACACCCTGCCTCTTTTGTTTTTTAGTAAAATCTTTATGGTTGAGCTTATTGTTGTTCATTCATATTATAACTTTAATTCCTTGCATTGTTGTTCTTTTCACACTTTAGTTTAATGATGAAATCTTTGTTCATATAGATTAAAAAACCCCAGACAGTGGTGGAACTCGATGTCACTCAACTTCCAATTTAGTGCTTCCACTAAGGTTTTCTTTAAAAAAAAAAAATGCTTTGTAGGTTTTCTGTATCCTCTGTTGTTTGATTTATGCCCTTAATATAATGTTAGAGCCTTTTATTTTAATCCTCCAGGCAATATGAGGATCATATTTTTGCTTTTATTTTCTCTTGAAGATAAGAATTAAACACTCCTCCCTTACTTTATTTACCTGAACACTTTTGGGCAATGATATGCCTTCATTTAAAATATATTAGAAACTTTCTTAGTTAAGCGACTATGTTTTCTCCCTTTCTCTTTCCCTTTTTCACCTTTTTAAAAACCAGTCGAAATTTTCTTACTTTTTCAAAAGTAATAATCATTAAGAAATTTAAGAATTATTAAGCTGGGCCCCATCATTGAGCTCTAATATATGTGGCGGGTAACTGGTTGAATTCCTTAGGCATAATTAAACTCATTCTTTTGTTATCAGCATATATTCAGAGATTGCAAAATGAATTGGTAGTTTGGAAACTTAGGCATATGTTATGTAAAACATTTATGAGTTGGATTTGGATTTGGTGAGAGATGTTAGGAATGATACCTTAAGATGTCTCATTCTTTAGGCAATAATTTAAATCTTAAGAAAAGTCTTGATTTTGATTATGTGAAAATAAACTAGAAATAACCTGTCTTATGTACTTATCACATTTGACTATGTTATGAAATTTGACTTATATTTTGGATTGTAAGCTTTTTCAGTGCCAAGGAAATCTTATTTTCTTATTTATTTAATTTAAAATTTTTATTTGTTTTATATCTTCTCTAGTGCCTTAAAATAGTGCTAGCCACTCAGGAAATGCATTGACTTATTACTGGAATTTAATTAAATGGCAGCACTGGCAAGAGAAAAAAACAGTACATTGTTTTATTGAGTAGTATTTGTGAACTGAAATAGGTTAGTTTTAATTTTCATTCTGAAGTATGGTTGCACAAGTATTAATAAGCATTCTTTTTAAAAAGTGATTAAAATGTTTTTTCCTTTGTAGGTATCATAACTATTGTGGATTCAAAATATGGATTAAAAGTAAGTTGAAAGATTGCTATGAGTGGCTCATTATTGAGAGCTGGGAATATGGGGATTGATTGTTTAATTTTCTTTATGTTTGTATCTGAAATTTTCTTTAACAAAAACCTTTCTCAAAAAGATATCCTGAACAATAGGTGAAATTTGTGTTTTAATTATTAGTTTGTGTTAAATATTTCTTTTCTATTACTCTGAGTTTGATTTGGTGATAAAATTTGGAATTATAATTTGTAATAAGCATATGGGGTTAGGATAGAGTTTGGTATGTATAGCTCTTCACAAGGATTCAACCCCAATATTGGTAAGTTTTTCTGTTCCATAGAAGAAGCTGAGCTTGATAAAGCATCTGAGATCTTATTTTTCTTGTTAAATTACTATTAAACACACACTGGAAATGAGTTTTTAAAAAATATTGAAGACCTAGGTGATGGGTTAATAGGTGCAGGAAACCACCATGGCACCCGTTTACCTATGTAACAAACCTGCACATCGTGAGCATGTACCCTGGAACTTAAAATTTAAAAAGTACATATTGAAGAAAATCAGGATATACACATAGGATTAGTAAGAAGACTCTCTCCATTAAAAGGCATCTTGCATCGCTTCTTGGTCTTTTGGCTAAGATCAAGTGTAAAAGACATCCTGCTATGAATGTTTTTGTTAACTTCTAAGGTCCTAGAATGCATTTAAATGAGGTTTAATTTATAAAATGCATTTAGTAAGATCTTTAAAAGTATGTTGTTACATACAGTAAAATGATGTTTCTCAACTTCCCAGGTGAAATACCACTAAAGGCAGAAGAGAATGAAATCATCCCACCCACTGACCCGTTCCCAATCTGAGCATATGGATAGGGCCCAAAGCAGTAAGTTCTTAGAAGTTTAAATTCAGTGTTTAAAAATTAGTGTCTGTTTTGTATCCAACCTCATATCTGAACGTGTTAATTTTTTTTTTTTTTTTTGAGACAGAGTCTCACTCTGTTGCCCAGGCTGGAGTGCAGTGGCACCATCTTGGCTCACTGCAACCTCCACCTCCCAGCTTCAAGCGATTCCCTTGTCTCAGCCTCCTGAGTATCTGGGATTACAGGTGCACACCACCATGCCCAGCTAATTTTGTATTTTTAGTAGAGACAGGATTTTACCATGTTGACCAGCCTGGTGATGAACTCCTGACCTCAAGTGATCCACTTGCCTCGGCCTCCCAAAGTGCTGGGATTACAGGCATGAGCCACCACGCCCGGCCTGAACTTGTTAATGTTTAAGTTTGCTTTTTTTTCCCAAATCTTTGCTGAAATTATGCTCTAAGGGGATATGTCAGGTTTGTCAAATAGCTACCAATACCTCTTCACTGGGCCTTCTCTCCCTCGTTGATAGAGTGCCCTAGTTTGAAAAGTTTGGAAGAAAACTCGTTTTTTAGAGTTTAAAATCTCAATTTATGAATTTATGAATATAATTTAAGAATCAAAGAATGATCCCAAATACAGTATTACAGTTTCACGCAGAAAAATTCCAATGACTGTTGGAAATCATATTTCTTGCAAAATGCTTATGGAGGTAGCAAAAAAGCCCCAAATTATTCATTTTGAATGTTTATTATAGGCATGTTTGAATCTACCTCTTCCATAAATTTATTACAAAATTTGATATACCTATGTGACAGATAACTGCTAAGACATTTTGTTTTTTTTTTATTTTGATAGACTGAAAATGCCATGCTAAAAGTCAAACTGTTTATGTATTTTATGATTATAGGAAAAATTTTATATGTATAGTTGGGTATGGAGAAGAGTTAAATAGAATCTATTATCAGCATGACGGAGGCCAAAAAAGCAAAGCAACATTCTGAATAATGCAAACACAGTAAACGTTTAACCTTCTGCTACCTTGATAAAACCTCTTAAATTATTAAATCAATATACCTACATGAAACTGACACACTGTCAGGATAATGGAAACTTTAAATTTTCTAAGTCGGATGCCAGATAAATAACTTTGCCTTGATATAAAGAATTTTCCAACTTGTCCAATTCCTCTGGTTGCAAAGCTTGACCTCAGTAGCTGCTTGTGATTCAGAGAATTCTGAGGCAGTACAAGTAATGACACTTGGATAATGGGCAGCAATTTAAGAATGTCATGCTTCACAGAGCCAGCCCATGACAAGTAAAGTTGAGAAATGGTACCCTGTGGCCAGCCAGCCAAATTGAAACTGAAGTGGTAATTGATATCATGGGGTATCACTCTAATGGGATTGTCACCCATTGATCTGAAATATTCATTTTTTAATCATAGGCAAAGAATTGGACAACTTAAAATGACAGCTCTCTATTCTGAGGACTTGACACCCGGGCTACTGACATTGTTCTTTTCAGTTCTACAAATGTGACAGCATTTAATGCAATAGAAGCAATGAATGAAGTTACCCAGAGAAGGTCAAGTGAGAGGTTTCTTCTTGGTTCCTCTGTTATATTGCACAATCTGTTGAAACAATTCAGTCAGAAAACAGTTAGCTTGGAAAAGGCCAGAACAATAAATAGACTGACATTATGCAATAATTTTTTAAAAACTAAAATAGTGTTACATCTGTAACCAATCCATTTGAAAGAAATAGTTCCTGCTGCTGCTTTTTAAAAATGACACCAGACATCTTTGACACTAGATTTATTTCCACTCTGGTCAACAGCAGTGTTCTTTCATAGCCAGTGGGTTTTAAGATAGTTTTTTCTTTTCTTTCTTTCTCTTTTTTCGGTCCGGCTTCTTTCTTTATTTCTGCAGAAAAGGACACCCTATAGCCCTTCATGAAGTTAGGTCTACAGTGGTGTTATTTCAGAGAGTTCCTTTGTTTCTCTCTCTAACCCCCCAGCTTTATTGAGGTATAATTGACAAGTAAAAACTATATATATTTAAGGTATACAGTGTGTGAATTACATTATCAAACATTATCCATCACCTCACATTGCTATTTTTTTGAGAGGGGGTGGTAAGAACAATTAAGATCTATGTTTTAGCAGATTCAAGTATACAATAGAATTAACTACAGTCATCATGCTGTAATTAGCTCTCCATGACTTATGCATCTTGTATAACAAACTTTGTATTCTTTGACCAACATCTCACACCACTCCCCTTTAATTTCCTTTGTTTCTTGTGGTAAGTTAAATTGGGGTTTTGATCCTTAGCCTTTTGAATATGTTGGATTAATTAGTATCAAAATTATTTTTGTCTTTTTTGATATATAAGCAAAAGCCATAGTTGTTAAGCAGAGATAAGGAATACTTTGGACATCTATGTAATATAAAATATTTAAAAAATATTTTGCAAAAATTTTTTCTTCATTTACTTATACAGGTGGAATAGAATGCCAAACTTTCCATTTTGTTTTATTTTATAAATGAAAGTCATCTGACTTAATGACCAAATGGTATATAATGTATTATTGGAGAATGTTCTTTTGAATAGAAGACATTGATTTTATACTTTTTGCAGAGTTTGATTTGGGAAGGTAGGAAGTCACATGAGGGAAATGCAGGGCTGATGTCTAAAGAAAATAAATGTTAAGATGCACTTATTTTTTTAAATGTTTGTATAGCTTTCCTATGGGCATAGAAGAGGACATTTATCTCTTCTGCTATAATTGTATATGATTACATATAATTTTAATACAGCTGTAAATATTGGCAGGCTCTCATTTGGGGTGATTTTCATTTATTTTTATATTTGATACTTTCTGACTGCCTGGAAGTAGTAAAACGTTAGTCTACCACTGTTAGCTTTGAGTGAAGAATTCTAATATTTTGGAGAGGTAAATGCATTTAAAACATTGCACATTACCTTGTGAAACTAACATTGTATTAGTTACATTTAGGCATGGAAATGCAAAAACAAATCTGTAATTCTTCTGTCATATCATTTTTATGCCTCACAAACTCATAGCCAAATAACCCCAATTTCATATGTTAAAAAAGCTTTCATAAGGTCAATAATATAATATCTTGAAAAATATTTCAGTTTAAAAAGAATTTTCAGTACTATAGGATCATTCAGAGGCAGATGCCTTGACAAAAATATATCATTGTTAAGTAGATTTACTGCTTAATGGGAAGAGATTTGTTGCTGCATGTTAGATGGCATTTTTCATGTAACATCTTTTATGTATCCCCACAACAGGAGGTGTTAATTACAATTCATTCAACAAATATTTCTTGAGCCTTTGTGCCAGGCACCATTCCAAGGTCTGTTAGCAGCCTCATTCTCTAGAGGCAGAGTATATAACAATAGGACTTGTAGCCTCAGGCCAAGATGAATTATGAAAAAAATATTAAACTTGATCTTTTGGCATGGAATGATTTTTGATACAATACTTGTCAAGTTCTGTGACTTCCATAATTGCAGAGTGGGTCTGCAGTTGAATTGAACAAAATTTTGCCTGAAGTAGAAGTATCATTGCCATGATTTTATTTCAGTTTTGTTTTCCTCAAAATAGAATTTGCTGAACTTTTAGAAGGAAAAAATGTTTCTTCTATAGACCTAATCAAGCTTGTTAAATAAAATTATTACCTGCTTGCTCTGAGGTTCCAAACTATTCAGATACCCCTAATGATCATCTCCCCATGAATTATGAAACTGGTTTGGCTCTGATATATGGTTATTGACATTTGTGTAGCATTGTACACAGGCTGATTTTATGTGGCATAAAAGATTTCACAAAGGCTTTAAAATTATGTTCATTTTACTTGATGGGTGTGTGTTCAATTAAAAAAAAAAGTCCCTGTGATTGCATATAAAATATAGTATCCTGTGATGATGAGGGTGTTAGATTTAGTTTCTTCCTTTATAAATGAAAATAGCCATCTCCCATAATTATTATGAAAGCTAAATGAGAAAAATGTATATAATTTATAAAGTTAGATTCAAGGATTTAATTCATTTGTAAAGTTGGCTTCAAATATAGAGTATTACTATAATCTAGTTGCCTCTAAACCTCAGTAGCCAGCTTTTTATTGTGACAGGGAACCTCTATTGAGGTTTGAGGTAATGAGGGTAAAAGTGTAATTTCCCAGAGAAGAAGCTTGTGATGTTGATGACGTTAGGGATGTAAACAGGATTATGAGGGGGAAAAAAAAAAACAGACAACAAAACTTGCCTCCAGAGAGATGGAAACTACCACTTGGGCTCTAAGTCAGTGTCAAAATATTTTTTGGAGTTAGCCTGACTCTGGAGAGGTCAGTAAAATAAACAGTTGCACTGAGAGGCCAGATTAGCAAGTATGGGTTTCTAAATGATAAACTGCTTTTAGGCTAGAATCAGGGCTGAATCAGCCTTCCCACCACTTATTTGTTTCTAGGGTGTTTGAAAGGCCTAGTACTGAGTTCACGTGGTGCATGATTGTGGGCTGGGGTGTAGGGAAGTATTTTAGATTCTAATATGGGGGTTTGGTGTGAAGGGAAGTATATTAGATTCTAAGAAACTATATTTCAGTGGTTATCCTTTTTTTAAAATAAGTAATAATGAATATTTAGAACCAGAACAGTTTTGTAAGAAGGAAAATACCTAAAATCTGAACTGTAATCTTCTATGTTTTTATGACATTATGTGAATCAAAGGGGTTTTCCTTTTAAGTAAAAGAAAAGGTCAGGAGTATGAAATCCTAAGCCCTCTTCCTCCCCCTATAAAACCCCACAGGTTCACTTGTAGAAAAAAATTGCAAATGGGGAAGAAAAATGCTTTCAGCTAGAAAAGTTAGTTTTGGATTTGTGTATTCAGTAACAGAACATGTTGAAGTTTTTATTAAATGCAAGAAAATGTCTCTAAAGTAAAATCCTTTGTGTTGACATTAGATTTTTTATTGTATTATAGTAACTTTATTCAAACTTTTTTTTGTTTAGCATTTAACAGAAGAGAAACCTGATGGCCTTATCAATGAAGCTACTAGGTATTCATATTTAAAGTATATATTGATTGCTGGCTAATCGTAAAGAGAAAAATCACTAAGATGAAAACCAAAAACAAACTAAGAAATTTTAAAACATAGTCAAGGAAAATTTGTTTTCTTTTTTTCCCTTAGTTGAATTATTGCTATCTATTTATAATGATCTCATAACTAAACTTTTACTTGAAGTCATTTTTGTCGTAGCATAAAGTGAATGCTGAACACAGGAGTTCTGTAATTTTGAGGAACTCGGGAAATATTAACATTTAAAAATATTTTCTTGTTATACAATTTCTTTGGGATTGAAGATTTTATATATATATATATATATATATATATATGTATAATAATAATTATTATTATTATTTTTTGAGACAGAATCTCACTCTGTCACCCAGGCTGAAGTGCAGGCTCACTGCAACCTCTGCCTCCCAGGTTCAAGCGATTCTCCTGCCTCAGCCTCCCAAGTAGCTGGGATTACAGGCACCCGCCACCATGCCCAGCTAATTTTTGCATTTTTTTATTTTATTTATTTTATTTTATTTTATTTTAGTAGAGATGGGGTTTCACCATGTTGGCCAGCCTGGTCTCGAGCTCCTGACCTCAGGTGATCCACCCGCCTCGGCCTCCCAAAGTGCTGGGATTACAGGCATGAATCCACTGCGCCTGGCTGAACTTAAGTATTTTTGTAACTTTTTTCCTTATGAAAATATGGTTATTATAGAAAATATAAATAAGCCAAATAGAAAATAGCCAAATTGGATTTGTGATGTACATACTGTTGAAACCTGCTCTTTCAGTGAACTAAAGTTAATTTAGTTTTGAGAATTTAGTTGTATTCTTTGAGATAAAGCATAAGACCCTGAATAATTGAGGAAAATTGAAAGAATTTCCAGTTTTACTATCCTGTTAATAGAAAATAGAGCTTCTGATTATTATCATCTACTTTGTTATCTAGCATTCAGTCAACTGGATTCTTTACAGAGATAATATACAGTATATTTATAGTGATAAAGAAGACATTTGTGCAATATCCTGATATATCTTCTGAAGTATAGCTTATTTTTTTTAAGAAATGGAGTCTTGCTATGTTGCCCAGGTTGGACTTGAACTCCTGGGCTTAAGGGATCCTCCCTCCTCAGCCTCCTAAGTAGCCAGGACTACAGGTGTGCTCTACCATGCCCAGCTCTGAAGTATAGTTTTAAAAAACCTGTTTAATACAGTTTTTAGTATTAAGTGAAGTTATTCTATTTCTTTGAAAATTTTGGTAAATATTACAGTATTTTAGTAGGTAAACTCTTCTTCTTTTTACCATATTGGATATCTGAATTTTATGCTTTTCTTCACAAAGAAAATTATGAGTTTAAAATCATCCTTTTGATTGTAAACTTTTTGAGACTTATCTTTGTAGCACAAGAGTAGCAAGTAACAGAACTTAGTAAATACTTTGCAAATGGGTAATGTGAAATCTGAACTTGCATAGTAATGAATACAATTCATTCACATTGAAAAATTAGCGGATTAGGAGTAAACTGAATCACTCCTATAGAGCACTATATAATCCTTAACTGATATATTGATCTACATGAGGTGTTTTTATTTATTTTTAATTTGTTAACATTTCTCTTTTGATGTATTAATCTGCATGCGTGTATATTATTTAAAATTTCTTAACATTTCTTTTTGTTTGCTATTTTAGGCAAGTTGCTTTGGCAGATATCATTCTCATTAATAAAACAGACTTGGTCCCAGAAGAAGATGTAAAGAAATTAAGAACGACACTTAGGTACAAAATGATGTGTGTTAAGTGCCTACAGATCCATATTGTATACACAGAATGTTTTTTACTCTGATTGTTGCCCTGTAGAAACTTAAGGTATAAGGTTGACCTGCTTCAAGAACGTTAGGGAATCACATATATTGTTGATGGCTAATTGTTATATAAATGGTAATACATAAAATTAGTCCCCAGTGCTTGCAGAATATAGTTCACAGTTAATAGACTGATATTCAGGGTCTTCGCACTCCATCTTTCTTTTCCTGTCTTCTCTTTGACTCTTTCCTAATGTCAGTCTTCCCTAACTTTACCCAGGATGGTTAATTCACTTTCCCATGGATGCATCCTGTCAGTTCCTGTCTTTACTCATAATGTATTCTCACTCTGCCAATCCCTGAGTTCTTTCTTGTTCTGTTTTTTTTTTTAATTTATTCTATAGAGCCTATTCTGTCTCTCCCCCCTTCCTATGTGAAGTCTTCCCTGACTCAAGTGGTCTCAGTTTTCCCTGAACTCTTGTTGACTTCATCTTCCTTAACTGTCAACCATGCATTGTCTTCCAGCTTGCTTGTATATCTTCTTTGTCCATAGCCAAGGCTGATCAGCATAGGACAATCAGGACAATATGAATGATGCTGAAATATGTGCTAACAGTCATTTTGCTGACTGTTCTGGAGACTCCCATTCCTTTTGAAAACAAAGATGGACTTTTCAAATGAAGTTATAGTTCAGGGACTTTGTTTTGAATTATTTTGTAAGACCTGAACTAATAAAAGCCCTATACAGAGAGACATTCGGTAGCTATTATTATTGGTTATCTTTAATGTGTACAATGCTTTGAGCGTGATGGCTCAAAATTACTATTCTTAGTATTTATAAGTTCTACTGACTAGATTTTGAATGTGTCATCTCAGTTCATATAGTATATATTATAAATTGAATCAATAAAAGTAAGGCTCATTAGGAGATTATTTGCCATGATTAATGATTGTGGAAGAAAGAAATTCATATTTTTTCCACATATTTCATCTTATTTTAATAGTAATGTCCTTAAACTTTACTATAAAAAAATATAATGTCTCCATGTGGAGGGTAGGTATTGTTGCGTAGTGTTGAAGATCACAGACCTTGGAATCTGCTTGGGTTCTAATCCTTGGTCTGTTTCTCATTGTCTTCTTAGGGAGCTTATTTACCCTTTTAAAGCCTCCTCTGTAAAAGGCATAATGCCTATCATAAGTTTGCTTTGAGTATTACATGAGACAATGTTGGTAAACTTTGCACAGTGCTGACACATAGTAAGTGCTCTGTTAGCTATTATTATGTAATTTTTTTCTTAGCTTACATAGTAAGTTCAAGGTATAGTAAAAAAGGGAAGAAAGAAAAAGATGGCTGATTTTGAAAAGGAGAAAGTGATGAATGAAGATTGCTTTTACATTTTTTGACACTGGTCTTCTAATCTTGTTTCTCTTCATAAATCTTGTGCACCATTGTGATTGCTAAGAAGAACACAATCTATTTAGCAAACGTTTTTGGCATAAAAGGAATGATAATTATTACTTGACTTTTATATCCTTATAGAGACCTAAGCTAAATCTCTGACACTGACAATATTGACTATTAGCCAGCTTGTTAACAGTACTAGAAATGAATTTGGTAGAAGCAATTTGGTAAATTACACACCCTTTTGGCTTTTACCCTCCGTTTATATCAGACTTGTGACTGACTCAGAATGATATTTGGGGAGGTGAAAAAAGGTAAACATGTTTGAGAGGAATTAGCCATCAGACTAGAGTGTATTCAAAAAAGAAGATTTAAGAATTTTGTAAAATAGTGGAGAGACTTGCCTCAGAATCATTATATGTGGGAAGCCTTACCCATGAGAACAAACTTGAACAAGTAGCAAGAATCTTGGGTAAGTAACCCTAAAGACAATTGAATTCATGATAGAGAATTGATGATTGATGATAGGCAATGGAAAAGATAAATAGATGAGGTGTACAGTGTGTTGAAAAGAATTTAACAGGTACTTTCTGGTTCCATACAAAGCCATATTCTATAGTATCAAAAGAGGGAGAACAGGCATAACGGGTAGAGAGCCTAATTAGGGAACTGACGAGGTTATTCTATAAAGGAACCTGGGATGTGTGACTTAGAATTACTGTGAATACTAAGGACAGGCTGGGGGCAAAGCAACTTACAACTAGGTTTTTATTTTTAGTGTGTATATAGCCATTTCTACCATGTATGCCTGAGGAAAAAAGTGACCACCGTAAAAATTTTGAGTATCTGCTCATTTTTAAGAACACTGGGATAACTGACTATTTATGAATGATTTTTTCTAAAGTGAAGCGTCTTTTTATTAACCACAAAGTATCCCTTAATCTGACAGTTGTGTGAATTTTTGCATATATGTTTTATTGATGTATGAGTGGAATATATGTGATTTATTGTTTGAAGGAAAATCATAATTATTTTTTAAAGCAAGTTTTGTTTTTCTGTTTTTAATTTTTTTCTGGTTCCAGATGTATTTGGGTATGCTTATTTCCCGTTTTAGAAACAATATACTTTGTATACTTTTTTAAAAAGTTAATTTTTACTTTTAAACTTTGTCTTCCTCATTTATTATTTATTTCAGATCCATAAATGGACTAGGACAAATCTTAGAAACACAAAGATCAAGGTACTTTAAAAAAGCTATTCCTATTAATAACAAATCATTTTAGTTATTAATAATAAACATTAAGTAATTGACAAATATGCTTGATTCTGATATAAGAAAGATCTAAGTGCATTTAAAAAGAATTGGATCCAAAATGTTGTTTGGAATGCTCTTAATAAGTTAGTTTGGCATATTTGGCTAGTACATTTGCCTGTCTTCAAAACTAAGATTACAAAGCCATGATAACACTGTGTAAGTGTTTGCTTAATGAGGAAGAAAAGACTTCCAAACACTCGAGAGGGTAACTCAGTACAGAAATCTGAAGTATATTGAGGAATCTTAATTTGAAGTGTTTAAATGGCTTTTTAATATTTAAAAAGCCTTCTTAGTGTTTTATAGTTGCCAAAAAATACATGGAGTCTTTACCTTGAAGTTCCTGACAAATTCTTTTATTAAATTTTGACTTTCATTTTCTCTAGGTTCTGTTCCTAAAACATCTGTGAAGTGTATTTCTGTAGATTAAATTCTGTTTTCCATTGAATGTTATCTTAATTTCAGAAAATTTCTGTGCAGGGTTATTTTATTAAGCTCATTTTTTTTTTTTTTTTTTTTTTTTTTTTGGTGAGAAAGGCTCAGCAGCTGATAGACTCAGCAACAGGCAGCCAGGAGCTCTGAGGCTCACAGCTGGCAGTCTAGTTCCACTCAGTCTCTACTTGAGAAATTCTTTCTTTGGAAGTACAGCAGAGGCCTTAGGTGAGTGGCTTGTCTGCTATGGCAGAGATTAGAGGTGCTGACAGACTGCCATAAGTATTAGGCAGTAACAGCAGCAGCTGCTTATATGCATGTGAACAGCTGGGGAATTAATTTGGTATGCATTCTCAGGAGCCACTCATCTGCTGGCAGAGGTAGCAGAAGAATGCCCTTAGTGTAAGTCCTCTACAACCATACACCAAATGTGCTCCCTGCGTTTCAAATTCCATTGTAGAGAGTCTCTGATAATCTCACTTATACCATGAGCCATTCCTCAGTATCTGTCCTCTTCCTGTTAGTGTTCTACAATTCCTTTCTCCTTAATTTTTCTCCGCTTTACAAAATGTCACACAGACAAGTGCATGATACTTAAACAAGCTTTTAAAAATAATGCTCATAAATAGCTTTGGTTCTGTCATAATATTCGTATTTATAAACATTTTAAGTCAATTCTCTTCTTTTATTTTCATTTCAGAAATATCCATGTCCTGAATAAAAGTTGTGTCTTGATTAGTTTATTATGTAACAATTTAGTGTGTTTGACATTTCTAACTTTTATTTCTAACATTTGCTTTATTATAGAACAATAAACATGCAGTGATTGATTTTTCTTACTTCAAGTGGATGAGTGAGCAAGTGACTAAAATCTTCTGTGAATTCTTCAGTGTATGGTGCTTGCCAATGCATCTGAGAATCTAGGGACTTTCTGAAATAGTACTTCCTTGCTATGAGGACTGAAGTTGGATTAGAATCCTTTTCAATGAAGATCAGATGTCCTGAGTAGAATTCTTACTATTGGGTCCTGAATCTTATATTAAATATTCTCTCAAATTCCTTGAGGCATAGCAACTTGAGCTTACCAGTTTAGAAACTGGAGATTTGGGCTGGGCGCGGTGGCTCACGCCTGTAATCCCAGCACTTTGGGAGGCCAAGGTGGGCGGATCACGAGGTCAGGAGATGGAGACCATCCTGGCTAACACTGTGAAACCCCATCTCTACTAAAAATACAAAAAATTAGCTGAGCCTGGTGGTGGGCGCCTGTAGTCCCAGCTACTCAGGAGACTGAGGCAGGAGAATGGCGTGAACCCGGGAGGCGGAGCTTGCAGTGAGCTGAGATCGCACCACTGCACTCCAGCCTGGGTGACAGAGCGAGACTCTGTCTCAAAAAAAAAACAAACAAACAAACAAAAAACCCGGAGATATGGTTAACAAAATAGTCAAAGTCACTCTTATAGAAGTTTTGTTTTATTTTTTGTTTTTTAAAATTTTTTTACCATTTTGTAGCTGACAAGTACTGACAATAAACTGCTATAAGCATGTGTAGAAAAAGGCTCACCTTGAGTAGTTAAGAGTAAGGAAAAGGAATAGTGTGTAGCATCGTCTTAGTGGTAAGACTTAAGTTGATTTAGTAGCAAATGGAAGTACTAGTGAACCACATAGATTTCAGAAGTAGGAGTAAAAGGTTAGAAGATGTGTCATTTTAATCTTCTCTAGACTTTTTCTTAATTTTTAGAAATGTAAGTGGACTGAACAGAGGAAAACCAAAACACAGCTGGTCAATAATAAGTTAAATTAATTTGACAAACTGCCTGCTATGCATTTCATAGCATTTTAAGGACTATATAAGCAATGGATAAGGCAAAAACTCTGCCTTTAAGGAGATCAGTCATTGGGGGGAAACAGAAGCAAACAAACAAAAAGGCAACATAATAGATATTAATATTAATACAAGAATTTTAAAAGCACAGAGTTCTATAATAATAGGAAAATAGAGGGAATGATTGCTCAACTTTTCTTGAAAAAGAGTCAGGAAAATATTGACCGAGAAGGCAGTCATTGACCTGAGTCTTAAAGAATGAATAAGGTTTTTACAGATGGAGTAGGGTAGGGATAACTTTCCAGGTATAAGGAAGATTTTGTATTCCAGGGACCTTTGAATATTTTAGAATGGCTAGAAAACTTGGTATTATGTAGCACAGAAAAAGTGGTATGACTGAAGAGATAGAGAACTTACCACAAAGGGTCTTGAATGCCATGATACATAGTTTGGATTTTCTTCTGTAGGGAGCAAGGAGTTAGTGAAGGATTTTAAAAGCAACATGCCTCTTGGGAGGTAGATTCAATGTGAGACTAATCTCCGAGGTATAGGAAATACAGGAAGGAGGAGCAACAGGTCGGGTAGTGGTGGAAGCAGGTTTGGAAAATGTGATTAGTTTTGTAAACGTTTTTGAGTTTGAAGTGCCACTGGGGAAGGCTTTTGGAAATTTATTTCCAGAGTTCAAGACTGAGCTATCATTGCAGTTTGCTCAGCTATTTACTGAGCTATCTACTGTCAATTTGGATAGTATCTACAGTTTGCATTGTAGATACTGGATACTTGGATTGGCTGGTGCACCCTGTTTATGAGACTCACTGGAGTTTGAAGAGATGACCACTGGAAAATATCCCTAAGCAGTAGCTGCAATTCCACCCCCACCGAGGAGAGCCAAAACCCTCTTCGTTTTCACTTTCCTGTCCTTGGTCTTAAGCTACTTAAAGCAGCCTTTAGACATAGGGAAAAATTGAAAGCCTCTCTTTTAAGAAAAACATTAGGTACTTCTGGAATAGAGAGTTCAAGAAATTAGGAGAAAAATGAACTTTTGAAGCTTTTTCTTTCCCTTTTTTGTTTACTTCATTCTCTTACTCAGTTTTAAAATGCTGGTAATGGTCTTTTTTTTCCTTTTTTTTTTTTTTCTTGGCGATTTTAATGCTTTGGAAAAGATCTCATGGTTTTATCTCCAAAGGAGGAAATTAATTTGATGCCATGGAAATTAGTTTTCTAGTCGTATGCCTTGAATGAGTGAAGAATTTCTTTTTCATGGTGGTACTAAATTTGGGGAAAGCTATAGAAACTTTCATCTGGAAGCTTACACTTTTCCTCTTTTTTGAAAATTTGGTGAGAGACTTGGATATTTTATTATTTTCTGTAAAAGAGTGTAATTTGTTATACAGGTCTAATATTGATCCTTTTTTGGAAGTATGGAAAGAATCTGAGTATAAAGCAGAATTACCTCTGGATGGCATGTATTCTCAAGGACACTGTCACAGTGAAACAGTTTATTTAGAAGCTTGTGTTTCCAAACTGTTGAATTTGATATTCACAAAATTGGCATGTGTAAACTTTATTAAACTTTAAGCTATTTCCTAAGATGAAGATGACAAACTTGGAGGGAAACTTCATTCATTTGGTTTATTTTTATTTTTATTTTTATTTATTTTTATCTTTTTGAGACAGAATCTCACTCTGGTTTGAGACAGAATCTCACTCTGTCCCCCAAGTTGGAGTGCGGTGGTGCGATCTCGGCTCACTGAAACCTCTGCCTCCTGGGTTCAAGCGATTCTCCTGCTTCACCCTCCCGAGTAGCTGGGATTACAGGTGTGCACCACCACACCCAGCTAATTTTTGTATTTTTAGTAGAGACGGTTTCGCCACATTGGCCAGGTTGGTGTCAAACTCCTGGCCTCAAAGTGATCCGCCCACCTTGGCCTCCCAAAGTGGAGCCCCCGTGCCCCTTGTTTGTGACCTGTCAATATAAATATGCTCAGTAGCGGGGGGAGGGGTGGGGGGTGAAAAAGGAAATATGTTTAATATTAAGACTTTGGCCTTTTAGTGTAAACTGATATTCAAAAATTTCTTCATAGAACATTTGCTTCTTTGCTTGATCATTTTTCTAATTCTGTACATCTAAAATGCCCAGAATTTGAGTTGCTGTTATAGTCTACTAACATAGAACTTTGGAGTAATAAGATGGGAATTTGTCTCTCTTTTGCCAAGACAAGCATTCGTAATCTAACACAGTATTGTTGCCACGAGTACGAGTATGTGATAGACTGTTGAGAATAAAGAAAGCAGGCACAGTTGGTCAGTCCTAAGATAAAGGAGATGTTTTTTCTTATATGTTTGTGCATTAAAGAAAAAAAAATCTTGAATCTGACCAATGATGTTTTTTTTCCTTGTAAGAAAATTTAACAAATGTTTGGCAAGCTTCTGGAATCTAAATTTGAAATTATACATTTGTCATTTTCTTTAAATATTTCTTCACCTTAGCTTTGATTATGAGAAATCACTGTCCTCTGCTGTTCTTTTTTTTTTTTTTTCTTTTGAGGCGGAGTCTCACTCTGTGCCAGGCTGGAGTGCAGTGGTGCAATCTCGGCTCACTGCAACCTCCACTTCCTAGGTTCAAATGATTCTCCTGCTGCAGCCTCCCGAGTAGCTGGGACTACAGGTGCGTGCCACCACACCCAGCTAATTTTTGTATTTTTGGTAGAGACAGGGTTTCACCACGTTGTCCATGGCCAGGATGGTCTTGATCTTGACCTTGTGATCCACCCGCCTCGGCCTCCCAAAGTGCTGGGATTGCAGGCGTGAGCCACCGCGCCCAGCCTGTCCTCTGTGATTTTCTGGGCTTATGTTAAAATTATAACTCAATCACCAGTCTTTATAAATTTGCTTTTTTATATTTAAACCAAACCTAATGCTAATTGTGATATGTTATTTATTCTCACCTGATTTGAATCATTGGATTCAATTAAATGAGTTTAATTATCATTAAGTAATTCTAAGAGAAATAATGTCTATTCGGATGGTGGGAATTTTCTTTCTACATGCAGCCCCATTCTGAATGAATGAAATCAAATCACGTGAAGATCAGGGTCCTAGAGTAACTTAATATTTTGTACATTGGTTATTTGACTCCTCATTTTTATATTACATGTTATATCAAGGGAGGGGGTATAAAAGAAATACAAAAATTGCAGAGGTATCTGGAATGTACCTATTTGTTAATTCTATTTGTCATTTCTTTTGTTTCATCTTTTGAGTAATAAGCTGCTTGGAAAAGTTTCTGTTCTTTAGCTGATTTTTTAGCTATAAAAATGTATTTGAAAAGCTCATAAATTTCAGCATTGAAAAGATAATTGAAAGTTTAAAAAAAACCTAATTCATTGAAGTAATAACCAAATAATTTTCAATCTTGATTCAACTGTGATTCAAATCTTACACCATTTGCCCACTTCTATGAATTTTATGTATAAAATTTTTTAAGAGTCAGAGTTTTTTTTTCTTGATTAATTGGATGTATTTCACAGAATTTCCAACTGCTCACGTTAGTTTTCTTCCTTTTAGAGTTGATCTCTCTAATGTATTAGATCTTCATGCCTTTGATAGTCTCTCTGGAATAAGGTATGTTTTGTATGATTTGGTTACTTTTATTGTTATGTACCTTTTTTCCCCATAGTTAACAGGAATGATTTGCACAATTGCATCCATGATTTAAGCTTCCTGCCATTCCTTTGGCATACAAGACCATTCTTAATGAGGTATATTCTTGGAAGTTTTACTAATTGGTTGTTTGGAAATCATATTGCATTTTCCTGTAGAAATTATAGTGTAAATGATAGTTAATTTTAGAGGCTAATCGTTAACACTTCTACACCAAACACTATGTCTAATACTCTTTCTATGAGAAAATGCATGAAATACATAGAAAATTTTAGCTTAGCGTTTTCACACAAATAACTCTCTTCACTTTATTTTTTTATTTTTTATTTTTTCTTGAGATTTTTTTAAATTTATTTATTTATTATTATTTAAGTTTTAGGGTACATGTGCACAATGTGCAGGTTAGTTACATATGTATACATGTGCCATGCTGGTGCGCTACACCCACTAACTCGTCATCTAGCATTAGTTATATCTCCCAATGCTATCCCTCCCCCCTCCCCCCAACCCACCACAGTCCCCAGAGTGTGATGTTCCCCTTCCTGTGTCCATGTGTTCTCATTGTTCAATTCCCACCTATGAGTGAGAATATGCGGTGTTTGGTTTTTTGTTCTTGCGATAGTTTACTGAGAATGATGATTTCCAATTTCATCCATGTCCCTACAAAGGACATGAACTCATCATTTTTTATGGCTGCATAGTATTCCATGATGTATATGTGCCACATTTTCTTAATCCAGTCTATCATTGTTGGACATTTGGGTTGGTTCCAAGTCTTTGCTATTGTGAATAATGCCGCAATAAACATACGTGTGCATATAGTCCTTTAGGGTATATACCCAGTAATGGGATGGCTGGGTCAAATGGTATTTCTAGTTCTAGATCCCTGAGGAATCGCCACACTGACTTCCACAATGGTTGAACTAGTTTACAGTCCCGCCAACAGTGTAAAAGTGTTCCTATTTCTCCACATCCTCTCCAGCACCTGTTGTTTCCTGACTTTTTAATGATCGCCATTCTAACTGGTGTGAGATAGTATCTCATTGTGGTTTTGATTTGCATTTCTCTGATGGCCAGAGATGGTGAGCATTTTTTCATGTGTTTTTTGGTGGCATAAATGTCTTCTTTTGAGAAGTGTCTGTTCATGTCCTTCGCCCACTTTTTGATGGGGTTGTTTGCTTTTTTCTTGTAAATTTGTTTGAGTTCATTGTAGATTCTGGATATTAGCCCTTTGTCAGATGAGTAGGTTGCGAAAATTTTCTCCCATTTTGTAGGTTGCCTGTTCACTCTGATGGTAGTTTCTTTTGCTGTGCAGAAGCTGTTTAGTTTAATTAGATCCCATCTGTCAATTTTGGCTTTTGTTACCATTGCTTTTGGTGTTTTAGACATGAAGTCCTTGCCCATGCCTATGTCCTGAATGGTAATGCCTAGGTTTTCTTCTAGGGTTTTTATGGTTTTAGGTCTAACATTTAAGTCTTTAATCCATCTTGAATTGATTTTTGTATAAGGTGTAAGGAAGGGATCCAGTTTCAGCTTTCGACATATGGCTAGCCGGTTTTCCCAGCACCATTTATTAAATAGGGAATCTTTCCCCACTGCTTGTTTTTCTCAGGTTTGTCAAAGATCAGATAGTTGTAGATATGCGGCATTATTTCTGAGGGCTCTGTTCTGTTCCATTGATCTATATCTCTGTTTTGGTACCAGTACCATGCTGTTTTGGTGACTGTAGCCTTGTAGTATAGTTTGAAGTCAGGTAGTGTGATGCCTCCAGCTTTGTTCTTTTGGCTTAGGATTGACTTGGCGATGCGGGCTCTTTTTTGGTTCCATATGAACTTTAAAGTAGTTTTTTCCAATTCTGTGAAGAAAGTCATTGGTAGCTTGATGGGGATGGCATTGAATCTGTAAATTACCTTGGGCAGTATGGCCATTTTCAGGATATTGATTCTTCTTACCCATGAGCATGGAATGTTCTTCCATTTGTTTGTATCCTCTTTTATTTCCTTGAGCAGTGGTTTGTAGTTCTCCTTGAAGAGGTCCTTCACATCCCTTGTAAGTTGGATTCCTAGGTATTTTATTCTCTTTGAAGCAATTGTGAATGGGAGTTCACTCATGATTTGGCTCTCTGTTTGTCTGTTGTTGGTGTATAAGAATGCTTGTGATTTTTGTACACTGATTTTGTATCCTGAGACTTTGCTGAAGTTGCTTATCAGCTTAAGGAGATTTTGGGCTGAGACGATGGGGTTTTCTAGATATACAATCATGTCGTCTGCAAACAGGGACAATTTGACTTCCTCTTTTCCTAATTGAATACCCTTTATTTCCTTCTCCTGCCTAATTGCCCTGGCCAGAACTTCCAACACTATGTTGAATAGGAGTGGTGAGAGAGGGCATCCCTGTCTTATGCCAGTTTTCAAAGGGAATGCTTCCAGTTTTTGCCCATTCAGTATGATATTGGCTGTGGGTTTGTCATAGATAGCTCTTATTATTTTGAAATACGTCCCATCAATACCTAATTTATTGAGAGTTTTTAGCATGACGGGTTGTTGAATTTTGTCAAAGGCCTTTTCTGCATCTATTGAGATAATCATGTGGTTTTTGTCTTTGGTTCTGTTTATATGCTGGATTACATGTATTGATTTGCATATATTGAACCAGCCTTGCGTCCCAGGGATGAAGCCCACTTGATCATGGTGGATAAGCTTTTTGATGTGCTGCTGGATTCGGTTTGCCAGTATTTTATTGAGGATTTTTGCATCAATGTTCATCAAGGATATTGGTCTAAAATTCTCTTTTTTGGTTGTGTCTCTGCCCGGCTTTGGTATCAGGATGATGCTGGCCTCATCAAATGAGTTAGGGAGGATTCCCTCTTTTTCTATTGATTGGAATAGTTTCAGAAGGAATGGTACCAGTTCCTCCTTGTACCTCTGGTAGAATTCGGCTGTGAATCTATCTGGTCCTGGACTCTTTTTGGTTGGTAAGCTATTGATTATTGCCACAATTTCAGATCCTGTTATTGGTCTATTCAGAGATTCAACTTCTTCCTGGTTTAGTCTTTGGAGGGGGTATGTGTCAAGGAATTTATCCATTTCTTCTAGATTTTCTAGTTTATTTGCGTAGAGGTGTTTTTAGTATTCTCTGATGGTAGTTTGTATTTCTGTGGGATCGGTGGTGATATCCCCTTTATCATTTTTTATTGCGTCTATTTGATTCTTCTCTCTTTTTTTCTTTATTAGTCTTGCTAGTGGTCTATCAATTTTGTTGATCCTTTCAAAAAACCAGCTCCTGGATTCATTAATTTTTTGAAGGGTTTTTTGTGTCTCTATTTCCTTCAGTTCTGCTCTGATTTTAGTTATTTCTTGCCTTCTGCTAGCTTTTGAATGTGTTTGCTCTTGCTTTTCTAGTTCTTTTAATTGTGATGTTAGGGTGTCAATTTTGGATCTTTCCTGCTTTCTCTTGTGGGCATTTAATGCTATAAATTTCCCTCTACACACTGCTTTGAATGTGTCCCAGAGATTCTGGTATGTTGTGTCTTTGTTCTCGTTGGTTTCAAAGAACATCTTTATTTCTGCCTTCATTTCGTTATGTACCCAGTAGTCATTCAGGAGCAGGTTGTTCAGTTTCCATGTAGTTGAGTGGTTTTGAGTGAGATTCTTAATCCTGAGTTCTAGTTTGATTGTACTGTGGTCTGAGAGATAGTTTGTTATAATTTCTGTTCTTTTACATTTGCTGAGGAGAGCTTTACTTCCAAGTATGTGGTCAATTTTGGAATAGGTGTGGTGTGGTGCTGAAAAGAATGTATATTCTGTTGATTTGGGGTGGAGAGTTCTGTAGATGTCTATTAGGTCTGCTTGGTGCAGAGCTGAGTTCAATTCCTGGGTATCCTTGTTGACTTTCTGTCTCATTGATCTGTCTAATGTTGACAGTGGGGTGTTAAAGTCTCCCATTATTATTGTGTAGGAGTCTAAGTCTCTTTGTAGGTCTCTAAGGACTTGCTTTATGAATCTGGGTGCTCCTGTATTGGGTGCATGTATATTTAGGATAGTTAGCTCTTCTTGTTGAATTGATCCCTTTACCATTATGTAATGGCCTTCTTTGTCTCTTTTGATCTTTGTTGGTTGAAAGTCTGTTTTATCAGAGACTAGGATTGCAACCCCTGCCTTTTTTTGTTTTTCATTTGCTTGGTAGATTTTCCTCCATCCCTTTATTTTGAGCCTATGTGTGTCTCTGCACGTGAGATGGGTTTCCTGAATACAGCACACTGATGGGTCTTGACTCTTTATCCAATTTGCCAGTCTGTGTCTTTTAATTGGAGCATTTAGTCCATTTACATTTAAAGTTAATATCGTTATGTGTGAATTTGATCCTGTCATTATGATGTTAGCTGGTTATTTTGCTCGTTAGTTGATGCAGTTTCTTCCTAGTCTCGATGGTCTTTACATTTTGGCATGATTTTGCAGTGGCTGGTACCGGTTGTTCCTTTCCATGTTTAGCGCTTCCTTCAGGAGCTCTTTTAGGGCAGGCCTGGTGGTGACAAAATCTCTCAGCATTTGCTTGTCTGTAAAGTATTTTATTTCTCCTTCACTTATGAAGCTTAGTTTGGCTGGATATGAAATTCTGGATTGAAAATTCTTTTCTTTAAGAATGTTGAATATTGGCCCCCACTCTCTTCTGGCTTGTAGAGTTTCTGCCAAGAGATCCGCTGTTAGTCTGATGGGCTTCCCTTTGAGGGTAACCCGACCTTTCTCTCTGGCTGCCCTTAACATTTTTTCCTTCATTTCAACTTTGGTGAATCTGACAATTATGTGTCTTGGAGTTGCTCTTCTCGAGGAGTATCTTTGTGGCATTCTCTGTATTTCCTGAATCTGAATGTTGGCCTGCCTTGCTAGATTGGGGAAGTTCTCCTGCATGATATCCTGCAGAGTGTTTTCCAACTTGGTTCCATTCTCCCTGTCACTTTCAGGTACACCAATCAGATGTAGATTTGGTCTTTTCACATAGTCCCATATTTCTTGGAGGCTTTGTTTGTTTCTTTTTATTCTTTTTTCTCTAAACTTCCCTTCTTGCTTCATTTCATTCATTTCATCTTCCATCGCTGATACCCTTTCTTCCAGTTGATCGCATCGGCTCCTGAGGCTTCTGCATTCTTCACGTAGTTCTCAAGCCTTGGTTTTCAGCTCCATCAGCTCCTTTAAGCACTTCTCTGTATTGGTTATTCTAGTTATACATTCTTCTAAATTTTTTTCAAAGTTTTCAACTTCTTTGCCTTTGGTTTGAATGTCCTCCCGTAGCTTGGAGTAATTTGATCGTCTGAAGCCTTCTTCTCTCAGCTCGTCAAAGTCATTCTCCGTCCAGCTTTGTTCCGTTGCTGGTGAGGAGCTGCGTTTCTTTGGAGGAGGAGAGGCACTGCGTTCCTTTGGAGGAGGAGAGGTGCTCTGCTTTTTAGAGTTTCCCGTTTTTCTGCTCTGTTTTTTCCCCATCTTTGTGGTTTTTATCTACTTTTGGTCTTTGATGATGGTGATGTACAGATGGGTTTTTGGTGTGGATGTCCTTTCTGTTTGTTAGTTTTCCTTCTAACAGACAGGACCTTCAGCTGCAGGTCTGTTGGAGTACCCGGCCGTGTGAGGTGTCAGCCTGCCTCTGCTAGGGGGTGCCTCCCAGTTAGGCTACTCGGGGGTCAGGGGTCAGGGACCCACTTGAGGAGGCAGTCTGCCCGTTCTCAGATCTCCAGCTGCGTGCTGGGAGAACCACTGCTCTCTTCAAAGCTGTCAGACAGGGACAGGTAAGTCTGCAGAGGTTACTGCTGTCTTTTTGTGTGTCTGTGCCCTGCCCCCAGAGGTGGAGCCTACAGAGGCAGGCAGGCTTCCTTGAGCTGTGGTGGGCTCCACCCAGTTGGAGCTTCCTGGCTGCTTTGTTTACCTAAGCAAGCCTGGGCAATGGCGGGCGCCCCTCCCCCAGCCTCGCTGCCGCCTTGCAGTTTGATCTCAGACTGCTGTGCTAGCAATCCGCGAGACTCCGTGGGCGTGGGACCCTCCGAGCCAGGTGCGGGACACAATCTCCTGGTGCGCGGTTTTTTAAGCCCGTCAGAAAAGCGCAGTATTCGGGTGGGAGTGACCCAATCTTACAGGTGCAGTCTGTCACCCCTTTCTTTGACTAGGAAAGGGAACTCCCTGACCCCCTGTGCTTCCCAAGTGAGACAATGCCTCGCCCTGCTTTGGCTCGCGGATGGAGCACGCACCCACTGACCTGCGCCCACTGTCCGGCACTACCTAGTGAGATGAACCCGGTACCTCAGATGGAAATGTAGAAATCGCCTGTCTTCTGCGTCTCTCACGCTGGGAGCTGTAGACCGGAGCTGTTCCTATTCGGCCATCTTGGCTCCTCTCTCCTCTCTTCACTTTAATAATGGATTAGTTTTCTGCCTTCTCCTGTGGGGAATCTTTTTGGTAAGGGAGGGAAGAAAGATTAGTTATTCTTGTGCATCAGTATCTTTTTCTTTTTTTATTGTAGTAAGAACATCTAACATGAGATCTACCCTCTTAACAATTTTTTAAGTGTACAATACAGTATTGCTAACTATAGGCATGAGGATGTGCAGCAGATCTCTGGAACGTTTCACTCTTTAGAACTGAAGCTTTATACCCCTTGAATAGCAGCTTCCCATTTCCCTGTCTTCATAGCCCCTGGCATCCACCATTCTACACTCTTTCTGTGGGGTTGACTATTTTAATTACCTGACACAAGTGGAATCATGCATTATTTGTCTTTCTGTGACTGGTTGATTTCATGTAGCATAAAGTCATCAAGGTTCATCCATGTTTTTGCATATGGCAAGGTTTCCTTTTTAAGTCTGAATAATATTCCATTTTCTACATATACCACATTTACTTTATCCCTTTTTCTGTTAGTGGACATTTAACTTGTTCTCACAGCTTGGCTATTGGAAATAATGCTGCAATGAATATCTCATAAGTCTCATATATGTCCATACAAGATCATGAAAATGGACATGTCTCTGGGTATTTTGAATTGGTGGGACAATTTTGCTTAAGGGTAGGCATAGTGGGTGGCTCTACATTTGAGAGTTCTAATTCCCATTCCTATATATATTTCTTTTCTTTTTATTTATTTTTTTGAGATGGGGTTCTCTGTCACTCAGGCTGGAGTGCAGTGGCACAAACATGGCTTACTGCAGCCTCAGCCTCCTGGGCTCAAGTGATCCTCCCATCTCAGCCTCCCAAGAAGCTGGGACCACAGGCATGTGTCACCATGCCTGACTAATTTTTTTTTTTAATTTTCTATAAGCATGGGGTCTTGCTATGTTGCCTAGGCTGGTCTCAAACTCCTGGGCTCAAGTGATCCTCATGCCTCAGCCTCCCAAAGTGCTGGGATTACATGTGTAGGCCACCACACCCAGCCTTATAAATATATTTCTAATTTTGGCTTAGCCATGCCCTTAAAAACTAATTCTACTTTCAACTAGTTTTTTTTTCCACCTTCAGTCTGTAGTATTGTTCACATTTTGAAAACAATACCTACAGTAACCTGTGAGGTAGGACATGATAGTGTTTTATTGGACCCCTTTTACTTTATGAATTGGAAAAATTAAATTTGCATGTAGTTTGTAAAAAAAAAAAAGAAAGAAAGAAAAAAGAAATTGATTGAGATTATTTCAGCAGCCAGAAGTGTGGGACAGGCAGGGCAGTTATTCCTCCTTCTCAGTTTGGAAACTGAAGCTCAGAGAGTAAACTTGTCAGTGACACAGTTATTCAAGAAGTTGTCTTCAGTTGAGAGATATGTTTTTCACCTGTAGCTTCTGGTATTGGAGGAGTACCTTTTTAGACTAAACAAATTACGGTTAAAATTATAAAGGTATTTTTGGAGTACCTGGAAAAAATCAACATTTTGCTTTTCTAGTTCCATTTAGTAGGAAGGCAGGAAAGTTTGGTATACCTGAATTACATGTGAGTTATTTCTATTTTTCTAAAAATTCTTATAAATTGTGTAAGGTAAAAATGACTACTTCTTGTTTTATGGTAAATATAGTTATATCCTTTCAAGCCACTGCTGTACAAAGTTGTGAAATCTCCCTGAGGCTTTTTCCCTCATGTCAGCTTCAGGTATCCAGTATCACTTATGCTTGATAATGATTGTATGAAAATCATTCAGAATTATACTATGTTTTTTCATATAAAGCTTTTGTTTTACTAATTTTGAAATGACTGTTCCTCCATTAAGCGAATACAGCCCTAAGCATAAATTTGGTTTGTTCATTTAAAAATGGTCTTTTTTTCCCATCTTAGTTCTGGCTTTACTAGGGAGATAGATTGGCTGAGGTTGTCACCTAATTCTGGGAGGTTAAGAGCCTTTGTCTTTTGCTACCCATTTCTGAAATAACCAGAAGTCTAGCCCATCCTAACTTTTCTCTCGATGATCCTTTTCTTCTTTTTACTTCAAGGTTCCAGCCCTTCATTTGACTATCAGTGCTGTTTCACTAGTTAGCCATGATCGCTTTCATCCGCCGTGTCTGGATTAGAACTGTATTTTTAATTTGATGCTGTGGGCAGTTTTGATAGTTACAGATCCTGTGATACATTTAAATGTGTTTACAAGGGGAACCAATGAAACAATGCTGCATGAAATTTGCCTTTCTTTTTTTTTTTTTTTCCCCTTGGAGACAGGGTCTGGGTCTATTGCCCAGGCTAGAGTGCAGTGGTGCGATGTCAGCTCCCTATAGCCTCTGTGTCCTGGGCTTAAGCCATCTTCCCACCTCAGACTCATGAGTAGCTGGGACTATAGGCACGCACTACCATGCCTGGCTAATTTTTTATTTTGGTAGAAGATGAGGTTTTGCCATGTTGCCGAAGCTGATCTTAAACTCCTGGGCTTAAGTGATCTGCCCACCTCAGCCTCCCAAAGTAATGGGATTATAGGCGTGAGCCACCACACTTGGCCTTTTCTTTTTTTCATATTTATTTAATTATTTTATTTTATTGAGACAGAGTCTCACTCTGACACCTGGGCTGGAATGCAGTGGCTATCATGGCTCTCTGCAGTCGTGAACTCCTGGACTCAAGTGATCCTCCCATCTCAGCCTCCTGAGTAGCTGGGACTACAGGCTTGCACCCATGCCTGGCTAATTTTTTTATTTTTACTTTTTTGTAGTGACAGGCTCTCGCTACGTTGCTCAGGCTCATCTTGAACTCCTGGCCTCAAGTGATTCTCCTACTTGGCCTCTCAAAGTGCTGGGATTATAAGCCTGAGCCACTGAACCCAGCAAAATTTGCCTTTCTTAAACTAATTTATCTCTGTTGGGTCCAAGAGCTTACAAGTTGGTTGTCATTTAATATGTTAAACACTAGAATATTTTTTAGTTGAAGTTTTATTTTTTCCCTTTACATATTGTATCCTTTAGTGCTTTATTTCACTAATAAGAATTATAGTATGCAATCATTTCCCACCTCTATATTCAGTATATCAATTTTTGTTTTTCCTTTCTACTTCTGTCTTTTGCTATAATTTGCTGTAATACAGGTACTTTCATCAAGGCATCCAGTTCTTTATATCATTCTATATTTTTACTTGGGAGAAATAGAAATGTTGCTAATTCCATCTTACTGACAATACCTAAATTATTGTTTGTTATAGAACATAATGATTTAAATATACAAAACACTAAACTGTTTGAGATTTTTTACATTTTATGCGTGCAGAATTTACATTTTATGTGTGCAGAGACAAAAATTGTTATAAGATTACAAGTTAATGTGCAAGATGATTTCCGATTCATGAGTTTCAGGTTTTGATAGCATATCCTTATCCACTAGATTAGTCTTTTAAAAATGTGTATGATAGGGAAAAAAATCGAGGGCATGAAATTCTGAGACTTATGGGAACTAAACTTAAATGTTCGTTGTTAGATTTTTTTTTTTTTTTTTTTTTTGCTGCGTATGAAGTTTTAGGCAGTCATTGTCCAACAACATTAAATACTGAACATAAGGAAAAGCATATGATTTTTTGAAATGTTTTTCTAAAGTAATCTCATTCTACATACACTTAAGAGCAGTTATAATGCTTTAGTGACACTTGAAGTAGCTATTTAATGTGATCTCACCACTATAGGGAAGGCCATTGCATGACTTTTTTGTGTGTGCTTAACTGCTAAACAGGAGAATCTTTTCCTGAGCAACCAGCTGGGAAGGATTTAATTTGACATTCTCCTTACTAGGACCCCCCAAAGAGACTCATTCCCTCCAATAGTTCCTACAAGTTCTTTCTCTTTCCTAAACTTGCTGTTACTAATTTACCCCTCACTGTTCTTCAAGGCAAAGCATCTGCAAGGTTTTCAGTCCTTTCCCCCTCCCGTCCTGTCCCCATCAGTGTTGAAATGTATGCTACAGTTATTATGGTTGTAATTTGTTATGCCATGTTGATCTTCTTGTGCTTTTCATATCAGAACAATGTATTTTTAACATTCTGACTTTCTTTTTCTCTCAATTGGTAACTGACTATATAGAAAATTTATATTTATGGATACTATTTCTTTTTTAATAAGTTCAAGGGAAAACATTGATAAAGGAAAATTTATCCTTTCAACTTTCTTTAGGTGCCAGCATTATTTTCATATTAGGAAGCAGGAGAAAGTTAAGGAACTCTAAACAATACTAGAATGGTTATATATATATTTAAGTTTGTATTAAACCTGTTGGAATGGTAAAGAAATTTACTGACATATTTAACCATACAAAATAGTGTTGCTAAAAGACTAGTTTTTCTCTTTATTCTGTGCATATGTATATATATGAATGTGTGTTTTTTTTTAAGAAATTTTAAAAAAACTTAATCTGCCAGCTTTTCTCTATTGGAATTTGCGAACAACTTGTAAAATTGGAATTACAGAATATTAGAATAGTCAGTTATGGAAAGTCACTTCATTATCCTTGTGTCACTAAATAACGTATAAAGTTAAATCAGAAGTGTATTCATCTCTGAATTTCTAATCAGTTGTTTTTAGTTTGCAGAAAAAACTTCAGCATGTGCCAGGAACACAACCTCACCTTGATCAGGTAAAGAAAAAAAATCTAAATCCAAAATTTCTAATCAATGTTTTTAAAGGACCTCTTTAACTAGATAGGCTATGTTTAGGACTATTTTATTATAAACTTTTTCTAAAATGGTATTTTTGAACTGTGTTGATAATTTTTGGAATCTTAAATGCTTTTGACATAGTCTAATTCTATTTCTTAACACATAATAGGAATTCATCAAACCAGATTTGTTTTAGAATCTGAGGAAACCATGCTTTCTAGCCTTTCCATTCTGTAGATTGCTTAGCATATTGGTTAGTTCTGATAGGGATTACTCCTTAAAAGCAGCCTGGGGGTTCTATAGGCAGTCTGTTTTTAAGTATGTTGAATTGTTTAAGGAAAGGTCTGATATAAGCATGGCTTATTTAAATAAAAATTGACTTGGAGTTTCACCTTCAGGTAGCACTATAAATTTGAACTCCTTAAGATGTTTTTCATGCTCTAAAATTCTAATCCCTAAGGTAAATATCTAAGATGCTAGGAACAATTTAAATATAATTTT
Organism: Homo sapiens; assembly: GCF_000001405.40. Lineage (NCBI taxonomy): Eukaryota > Metazoa > Chordata > Mammalia > Primates > Hominidae > Homo > Homo sapiens. The sequence continues at coordinate 41,144,757 of NC_000009.12, read as the reverse complement.
ACTGTACCTGCGTTTCTGTTAAGCAGATCATAGATCATAGAGCTTTAGGATAACTTCTTTGTTCCTCTTAAAACCCTGAGGGGTGGAGTGGGGGATGTGTAAGTGAGCAGTGTGCCTAATCTTCCTTCCTCTCTCTCAAGTGATCACTCAATTTTTGAATTGCTGTTGGTTGTAATAGGGCCAAGATAACAGCTACTTGCATTTGTATTCATTTTGGTTCACATTTATGAGCAGGTTTGCTACTATGTTTGTGGCACCTTTCCCTGTGAAACTTTTGTTAATAGGATATTCCTCTTCACTTATCTTTAAAATGAATAAATGAGAGAAATACAAGTCCTTGGAGATAGAATTTATGGTAAAAAAAAAAAAACTCAGTTCTTTATGATAGTCGGTATCTGTCATATAGTTGAACATGAAGCACATTTGAGCTTCTGGGTAAAGAACGTGATACCAAGAATCATAGGGATGAAAAGATGAAGCAAACGCAGTACTCACTTACCATGAACATTTGGAGCAGCCAGTGTCTCCATCCATAGAATCTCGAATGAACCCCTATTGTGGCAGTTATGATGCCTTGTAGTTTGGTTGAAATGCTTTTGCCTTGCATTAGTCTATAAATTCCTTAAATATAAAATCTTTATTGCTTAGTACAGGGCTTGGTGGATACTCAGTGAATATTTGTTAAAAGAATGAAAAGCTGTGTTTCTCAAATGAGGTATAAATCAGAATCACATGTGGAGCTTTTTTAAAAAAAAATCGATAATTCAGTAGTTCTCACCCCTCAGTCTCCAGGATTGGGACTTGGGTATGTGTATATTAATGTATATTTTTAACATTTTATTATGGAAGATTTCAAAGATATAAAAGAATAAACAGAATAGTAAAGTAAACCCCTTGTATGCATCACCCAGTTTAAATGGCATCAACATTTAGCTGATTTTATTTCACCTATCCTCCCAACATTTCTTTTGCCTGGAGTATTTTAAAAAAACAAATGTATTTTAATAGGAAATTTCAAACGTGCATAAGAGTAGAATAGTATAATGAGCCTGTATGTACCTATTGCTCTTGGTGTAGTGTATTAAAGCAAATTCCAGACATTATGTCACTTTACTACTAAATAGGGCATATCTATATTTTTGTAGCCTCTGTAGGAGATTCTGATGCACTGTCCTGCTTTAGATAATATAAACATAGGGAAAAATAGTATCACAGCCAAAGGGCTATGGGATTCAGAGGCAAGAACAATTTCATTTGGTTTAGTGGATCTGAGGTGTAAGGGAGGAAATTTATCTTTTCCTCGCCTATCACTAGATTCATGGCTGAGGTCTCTCTAACAGAAGACCAACTATCAAGAGAAATTTCAACATAGAAATTTATTTAGTAAGTTTTACTTGACACAGGAGCCTTCATAAAACATACCTGTGTATGTTTTCTGTTAGTTATGGTATGGAAGAGGATAGTTAATGGAGAAGCATAATTAGATAAAACAGTATGATCTAATAATAAACTGGGAAGAACTTAGCAAGGCCTGTTTGTTCAGATTTTTCTCTGTGACCCTTCATATTCAGACTTAAGGATGTTCTTTTCCTCTGTGTATAGAGAGGGCACCTCTTAAATGAGGGTCTTATGACCTGCATCAGCGGAAGGTCAGAAAATCTTTCCTAGGTTTTATGACCTGCTTCAGGAGAGAAGGTGAGAGTGACCTTCCTGATTCTGCCATTTTCTCAAATATTGAGTTGCCATATTTTGGGATAGCATGTCCTGAACCCCATCAAATGCTTCATGAGGATAGTTTTTTGTTTGTTTGTTTTGGTTTTGGTTTATTTATTTGCATAAAGCATGTAAATGTGTAATTTTAGTGTACAATTCAATGTTTGGGTTTTGTTTTTGTTTTTGTTTTTTTGGTTTTTTCTGAGACGGAGTCTCGCTCTGGCTGGAGTCTCACCCAGGCTGGAGTGCAGTGGTGTGACCTTGGCTCACTGCAACTTCCTCCTTCTAGATTCAAGTGATTCTCATGCCTCAGCCTTCTGAGTAGCTGGGATTACAGGCATGTACCACCATGCCTAGCTAATTTTTGTATTTTTTTTTTTTTTTTTTTTTTTTTTTTTTTTTTAGTAAAGATGGGGTTTCACCATGTTGGCCAAGCTGGTCTCAAACTCCTGACTTCAGGTGATCCACCTGCTTCGGCCTCCCAAAGTGCTGGGATTACAGGCGTGAGCCACTGTGCCCGGCCTCAATGTATTTTTACATATATTTGTACCTATATATCTGTCTATATGCACATTCAAACACATATCCTTCTAACTCCCACTCAGGTCAAGATACAAAAGATATCCAAAATTGTAAAGAGTTCCTTTTTGCCCCTTCCTAGTCAAAGAAGGGGTAAGTGCTATTCTGACTTACTTAACAAAAAATAACCTTGAACTGGTAGGATTTTTTTTGACGGTAGGATTTTTTTTGACAGGAAGAAGTAAGGAAAAGAGCAATATGGATGTTTAAAAATGAGAAGGTGAGAATCTTATAGATGAGTAGGTCTCTGGTACAGAAGTCTTAGTGGAGAGTTGGTACTGGAATCCTGGTCTAAGGTATTAGGTTTTAATTTGCTAGACAAAGAAAACTCAAGCAGTGCTGTCTAGGAGTGTTATGTAAGCTAGATTGGACTTTAGAGTCAGGAGACCATGCGGGAAGTTACTGTGTGATAAGGGCCTGAAACATGTTGGTTACAGTGAGACTAGAAATGGGATAAATCCAGAGCTGTTTCACCAGTAGACTTGCCTGAATATCCTGTCTGACTGAGTATGGATCAGAAAGAAAAGAAGGGGTGATGGGAAACAAGCCTAGATTGACTAGAGAAACCTAGAAATAGAAAAATCGGGACGGCAAAGTGATTTGGATGATAATGCCATATATTCAGTTGTCCCTGGTGGCCAGATATTATACTATAGATATTATACAGGCAAAGAAGAACAGAGGGATAGAGTGTGAAGGTACAGATTTTGAGTTTAAGCACATTAGGGGGCTTAGTGTTCTGGATGAAGAAAACATATAAAAGTTATTGTATGTTAGGTATTGTTTGCAAAAGAGTAGAAAATGGAGAAATAACCCAGTGGGTTAAAGAAGAAACGGACTAAATAAACAAACCTGAGTAAGTTGTTCCTAAATTTTATTTTAGAGACAATTCCTCATTTTGCTTTAGTTTTCTCAATTATTGCCTCACTTTTCTGTTTCTTTCTGTGTCAGCATACATGGAAAAAGGAGTTAATTTTAGATTCAAAACAAAAACTGGAAAAAAAAAGTCTGAAATGGGTAATACCTAGGACCTAGTATATATGTGTTATTAAGGCTCTATCCCTGAATTTTTAATGCAGTTATCTATTTTTCATGGATTCTTTGTTTATTCCCCATAAGGAACACCTGGGTTTGGAGAGCGGGAAGGTAGATGAGAAAACCCAAGTGACAAATAATGTTTAGTTTATTATTAGAACCAACTATGAGTTGTGACCCTTATCTTCTGCACTGGGAATTACAGATTTTTTCAGGGTTTTTCTAACATGAAAAGAGTTTATTGGTGTAGGAAAACATCTGGTTCCAAAATATAGATCATCCTTCTTGAGCTTTAATTTTTAAAGCCTTTTTTGTCTCATACTGGAGTTTATTGTACCCCTTAAAAATATTAAGTCAAAAATATTTAACCTGTTAAAAGCAAAAATCATTATAAAAATCTTTAGGCTGGGTGTGGTGGCTTATGCTTGTAATCCTAGCGCTTTGACAGGCCAAGGTGGGTGGATTGCTTAAAACCCAGGAGTTGTAGACCAGCCTGGGCAACATGGTGAAACCCCATTTCTGCAAAAAATACAAAAAATTAGCCAGGCATGGTGGCATGTACCTGTAATCCCAGCTACTCGAGAGGCTGAAGTGGGAGGATTGCTTTAGCTTGGGAGTTCAAAGCTACAGTAAGCCATGATTGTGCCACTCTACTCCAGCCTGGGCAACAGAGTGAGACCCCATCTCAAAAAAATTTATTCAGTTAAAATCTTTAACAATAAAGCAATTTTGAGTCGTATTTTGCGACATTCTCAATATAGTTTTCCAACTTGCATTAAAATACATTTTAAACATTTTTGAAGACTAAATTTATTTTTTTTTAACTGACAGTTATGTTTCATTTGACAACCTTTTGCTGTATATTTTTATGTGGACTTTTAGGTATTGTAGTGATTCCTTTAATGAAGAAATAAAATAATTGTCATTTAAAAATGCATATTATTATTACCTTATGCTATAAAAATAGTTTTAAAATAGAGTATGTTTATTAAGATTTAAAAATAAGTATAGTCATGCACTGCATAACAGCGTTTTAGTCAGACTGCATAAGATTATGATGGAGCTGAAAAATTACTGTCACACAAATACCATTGTGTTATTATTTCGATACACTGTTCAGTACAGTAACATATATGCTGTACAGGTTTGTAGCCTAGGAGCAACAGGCTATACAGCATAGCTTAGGTGTGTAGTAGGTTATACCATCTAGGTTTGTGTAAGTACACTATCATGTTTGTATAACAACAAAATTGCCCAACAGCTCATTTCTCTTTATGTATCCATGACTGTATATTTTTTATTGTGGTAAAAAACACTTAACGTGAGACCTACCTTCTTCCACAAATTTTTAAGGGTACAATATAGTATTGTTAACTGTATGTACATTGTTATATAGCAGATCTCTAGAACTTTTCATCTTGCATGACTAAAATTATACCCATTGAACAGCACCTCCCAATTTTCGTCTCCCTCTGACCCCTGGTAACCACCATTTTACTTTCTGATTTGATGAGTTTTACTGTTTTAGACACCTGATATTAGTGGATTCATGCAATATTTGTCCTTCTGTGACTGGCTTATTTCACTTAGTGTAATGTCCTCAAGATTCATCCATGTTGTAGTATATGACAGGATTTTTTTTAAGGATACATAATATTTGGTTGTATGTATATTACCACATTTATTTTATCCATTCAACTGTCCTGGACATTTAGGTGGTTGTTAGTGTCTTGGCTGCTGTGACAAAATAAGTACTTTTAAAAGTCTCACATTTGCAAGTTCAATTTGAATCTTTTTTTAGTCTGCTTGTACTTCTCTTATCAAGCAAGAAAGCACTTTTCCGCTTTTCCTATTACTAGTAACAGTGGAGATTAAATATCTCATGTTTTTGGGCGTTCTAGAGCCCAACACATCACCTGTTCCTTTCCATACTACCACAACTGACACTCTCTGGAAAGTGCCACCTCCCTGCAGCAGGCCAACCAGCACAAAAATAGTACATTAAACCAGCAAAGCTAAGAACCCTCAAAGAGTACATTTCACCCTCCTACCACCTCCACTGGAACAGGTGCTGGTATCCACAGCTGAGAGACCCACAGATGGTTCACATCTCCCGACTCTGTGCAGACTACCCCCCAGTACCAGCCTGGAGCCTGGTAGACTTGCTGGGTGGCTAGATTCAGAAGAGAGATAGCAATCACTACAGCTCAGCTCTCAGGAAGCCACATCCATAGGAAAAGGGAGAGAGTACTACATCAAGGGAACACCCCGTAGGATGAAAGAATCTGAACAACAACCTTCAGCCCTAGACCTTCTCTCTGACAGAGCCTACCCAAATGAGAAGGAACCAGAAAACCGACCCTGGTAGTATGACAAAACAAGGTTCTTTAACACCCCCCAAAAAATCACACTAGCTCACCAGCAATGGATCCAAACTAAGAAGAAATCCCTGACTTACTTGAAAAAGAATTCACTAGGTTGGTTATTAAGCTAAGGCACCAGAGAAAGGTGAAGCCCAATGTAAGGATATATATATAAAAAAAAAAGATACAAGAAGTAAAGGGAGAAATATTCAATGAACTAGATAGCATAAATAAAAAACAATCAAAACTTTAGGAAATAATGGACATACTTATAGAAATATAAAATGCTCTGGAAAGTCTTAGCAATAGAATTGAACAAGTAGAAGAAGGAAATTCAGAGCCTGAAGACAAGGTCTTCTAATTAACCAAATCCAATAAAGACAAAGAAAAAAGAATAAGAAAATATGAAGAAAGCCTTCAAGAAATCTGGAATTATGTTAAATGACCAAACCTAAGAATAACCGGCATTCCTGAGGAAGAAGAGAAATCTAAACGTTTGTTAAACATATTTGGGGGAATAATTGAGGAAAACTTCCCCAGCTTTGCTAGAGACCTAGATCCAAATACAAGAAGCACAAAGAACATCTGGGAAATTCATCGCAAAAAGATCATCATCTAGGCACATTGTCGTCAGGTTATCTAAAGTTAAGATGAAAGAAAGAGCTGTGAAACAAAAGCACCAGGTAACCTGTAAAGGAAAACTTACCAGATTAACAGCACATTTCTCAGCAGAAACCCTGCAAGCCAGAAGGGATTGGAACCCTATCTTCAGCCTCCTCAAACAAAACAATTATCAGCTGAGAATTTTGTATTCAGCAAAACTAAGCTTCATATATGAAGGCAAGATACAGCTTTTTCAGACAAACAGAGAATTCACCACTACCAAGCCACCAGTGCAAGAATGCTAAAAGGAACTCTAAATCTTGAAACAAATCCGGGAAACATATCAAAACAGAACCTCTTTAAAGCATAAATATCACAGGACCTATAAAACAAAAATACAATTAGAAAAACAACAAAAAACAAAAAAACAAGGTATACAGGCAACAAATAGCATGATGAATAGAGTGGTACCTCACATCTCAATACTAACATTGAATATAAATGGCCTAAATGCTCCACTTAAAAGATACAGAATTGCAGAATAGGTAAGAATTCACCAACCAACTATCTGTTGCCTTCAAGAGTCTCATCTAACACATAAGGACTCACATAAACTTAAGGTAAAGGGATGGACCGAGACATTTCATGCAAACGGACACCAAATGTGAGCAGGAGTAGCCATTCTTATATTAGACAAAACAAACTTTAAAGAAACAGCAGTTTAAAAAGACAAAGAGGGACATTATATAATGAAAAAAGGCCTTGTCCAACAGGAAAGTATCACAATCCTAAACATATGCACCTAACACTGGAGCTCCCAAATTTATAAAAGAATTACTAATAGACCTAAAAAATTAGACAGACAGCAACACAATAATAGTGAGGGATTTTAATACTCCACTGACAGCACTGGACAGGTCATCAAGACAGAAAGTCAACAAAGAAACAGTGGATTTAAACTATACCTTGGAACAAATGGAGTTAAAAGATATATACAGAATATTCCATGCAACAACCACAGAATATACGTTCTGTTCAACAGCACATGAACTTTCTGTAAGATAGACCATATGATAGCCAACAAAATGAGCCTCAATAAATTTTAAGAAAATTAAAATTATATCAAGCACTTTCTCAGACCACAGTGGAATAAAACTGGAAATCAACTCCAAAAGGAACCTTCAAAACCATGCAGATACATGGAATAACCTGCTCCTGAATGATCATTGGGTCAAAGATGAAATCAAGATGGAAATGTAAAAATTCCTCAAACTGAATGACAATAGTGACACAACCTATCAACCTCTGGGATACAGCAAAGGTGGTGCTAAGAGGAAAGTTCATAGCCCTAAATGCCTACATCAAAAAGTTGGAAAGAGCACAGACAATCTAAGGTCACATCTCAAAGAACTAGAGAAACAAGAACAAACCCAGCAGAAGAAAGAAGATCAGAGCGGAATTAAATGAAATTGAAACAAAACAACAAAAAAATCCAAAAGATAAATGAAACAAAAAGCTGGTTCTTTGAAAAGATAAATAAAATTGATAGACCGTTAGCAAGATTAGCCAAGAAAAGAGAGAAAATCCAAATAAGCTCAATAAGAAATGAAACGGGAGATATTACAACTGACACCACAGAAATACAAAAGATATTCAAGGCTACCATGAACACCTTTACATGCATAAACTAGAAAACCTAAAATAGATGGATAAATTCCTGGAAAGATACAACCCTCCTAGCTTAAATCAGGAAGAATTACCCTGAACAGACCAGTAACAAGCAGGGAGATTGAAATGGTAATTAAAAAATTACCAACAAAAAAATGTCCAGGACTAGACGGATTCACAACAGAATTCCACCAGATATTCAAAGAAGAATTGGTACCAGTCTTAAAGACACTATTCCACAAGAGAGAGAAAGAAGGAATCCTCCCTAAATCATTCTATGAAGCCAGTATCACCCTAATACCAAAACCAGGAAAGGACAACCAAAGAAGAAAACTACAGACCAATATCCTTGAACATAGATGCTAAAATCCTTAAGAAAATTCTAGCTAACTGATTCCAACAACATATCAAAAAGATAATCCACCATGATCAAGGGGTTTCATACCAGGGATGCAGGGATGGTTTAACATACACATGTGCGTAGCCAAAGCAAGACTAAGCAAAAAGAACAAATCTGAAGGCATCACATTACCTGATTTCAAACTTATACTATAAGGCCATAGTCACCAAAACAGCATGGTACGGTTATAAAAATAGGCACATGGACCAATGGAACAGAATAGAGAACCCAGAAATAAACCCAAATACTTACAGCCAACTGATCTTCAACAAAGCAAACAAAAACGTAAAGTGGAAAAAGGATACCCTTTTCAACAAATGGTGCTGGGATAATTGGCTAGCCACATGTAGGAGAATGAAACTGGATCCTCCTCTCTCACTGTATACAAAAATCAACCCAAGATAAATTAAAGACTTAAATCTAAGACCTGAAACTATAAAAATTCTAAAAGATACCATTGGAAAAATCATTCTAGACATTGGCTTAGGCAAGGATTTCATGAACCCAAAAGCAAATGCAATAAAAACAAAGATAAATAGCTGGGACTTAATTAAACTAAAGAACTTTTGCAGAGCAAAAGGAAAAGTCAGGAGAGTAAACAGACAACCCACAGAGAAGGAGAAAATCTTTCATAATATATACATCTGAAAAAGAACAAATATCCAGAATCTACAATGAACTCCAACAAATCAGCAAGAAAAGCAGTCCCATCAAAAAGTGGGCTAAGGACATGAATAGACAATTCTTAAAAGAAGATATACAAATGGCCAATAAACATATGGAAAAATGCTCAACATCACTAATGATCAGGGAAATGCAAATCAAAACCACAGTGCGATACCACCTTACTTCTGCAAGAATGGCCATAATAAAAAAATCAAAAAAATAGTAGATGTTGGCATGGATGTGGTGAACACGGAACACTTCTACACTGCTGGTGGGAATGTAAACTAGTACAACCACTATGGAAAACAGTGTGGAGATTCCTTAAAGAACTAAAAGTAGAACTACCATTTGGTCCAGCAATCCCACTACTAGATATCCACCCAGAGGAAAAGAAGTCATTATACAAAAAAGATACGTGCACACGCATGTTTATAGCAGCACAATTCGCAATTGCAAAAACGTGGAACCAACCCAAATGCCCATCAATCAATGCGTGGATAAAGTAACTGTGATATATATACATACAATGGAATACTCCTCAGCCATAAAAAGGAGTGAATTAATGGCATTCACAGTGACCTGGATAAGATTGGAGACTATTATTCTAAGTGAAAGAACTCAGGAATGGAAAACCAAACATCGCTATGTTCTCACTCGTAAGTGGGAGCTAAGCTATGAGGATGCAAAGGCATAAGAATGACACAATAAACTTTGGGGACTCAGGGAGAAAGGGTGGGAAGGGGATGAGGAATAAAAGACAGAAATTGGGTGCAGTGTATACTGCTCAGGTGATGGGTGTACCAAAATCTCACAAATCACCACTAAAGAAGTTAACCAACACCACCTGTTCCCCAGTAACCTATGGAAAGAAAGAAATGTCTCATATGTTTCTGCCTAAATTGGTCTTTAATACTTTAGCGATTCTCTTGAGTTTGGATTATAAAATAGTTTTGGTCTTTTTGTATTTTCTGCTGTAAGCCTGTATGATTATGTAATGGTGAGTAAAATTGCTAGGCCAGATACGCAGTTCTAGGAAGTTATGCAAAGATGTGCTTTAGTATATTATTTTCTACCTTTTTAAATTCATTTTGAGCTTGGCTTTTGAGCCTCTATTTTCCAAGGTGGGGTGTATGTTTTTATAATGTTATGCTTAGCCCTTGTGTATTTTCATCTCTGAGTTTGAAATTTGGGGTTATATTGGCAAAGGGAGGTTTGGGTTTTAATTAGGTGACCTGTTAGAGGAAATGTTAAGCTTCTGTTTCTTTAGGGTAGACAGTGAGAGATTTATCAAGATAAAGAAGAAAAATAAATCCTAAAGTTAATATTCAATACATGATGATGTCACCCTTACTAAAGCCAAAGAGGGCATTATCCTATCATTCTCATCACTAAGAACTCTTCTCCTCTTGGCACATGCTTATTCAGTTAAAGATAAGCCAAGCCTTTCTTTTGTATTTTTTTTTTAAGAGAACAAATTTACTTTGGTTCTGAGTTTTATTCCTGGCTCTGGGTAGCTTATTTTTTTGACCCTTATTTTCCCCAATTTATAAAATGAAATAGTTATCTTCACTCCCCAGGATTGTTGTGAAGAGTAAGTCAAAAGATACAATGAGGTGACTCAGGCAAAAGTACCTGGCCCTGTATAGTGAGTACATTGTATGTGTTACATATATTCTTATTGCTGAGAATCCACGAAAGAATGAATTAAATAATGAGGACCCTTTCATCAGGGTTTTTGAGTGAGTTTTTTAAAATACAAGGTAGTAGTTTGTGTAAATACTAAATCCATTGGTACCTGTGCAGAATGTAGGAAATGGAGTTGCTAATTCCAAAAAAACAGCACATATGCTGAGGAAAGTATAATACCTAATATATATGGTTTAAGCAATGTAAAATTCCATGAATATGTTCCTTTCATCTTAAAATTTGTGATTTAAAAAACATTGATATCACTATAAAGAATTATTATTATTTCCCTTGATTTACAGAGTATTGTTACAATCACATTTGACGTACCAGGAAATGCAAAGGAAGAACATCTTAATATGTTTATTCAGGTGAATGCAATTTTTAACTGATTAATGATTTATCAATGGTTTTGTTACATAGTTGTTGCTATTAGCGATGGTTGGTCTTATTAAAATATGTCACTTGATACAGAATCTTCTGTGGGAAAAGAATGTGAGAAACAAGGACAATCACTGCATGGAGGTCATAAGGCTGAAGGTACAGTTTACTGTTGCAGACTTTTGGACAAAGTCCTTTTCTTGGCTGTTATAAAAACTATATTTGGTTTTAAACAGAAACACTGGTTTTAGTACAAATCATCTTTGTCTACTTTCATTTTTCTTTATTATTTTCATGACTGAAAAGGAGCTTTGGAAATCACTGCATAAGGCTTGATTTATTTGCACAACTTTCTTTAGGGTTGCAGCTAGAACAAACCTGTGTGCTTTGAAATGTTACCTTCTGCTCTCTGTTCCCAAGTACAGAGAAATAATGTTGCAAATCTCACTTCTGCTGAACATTATGCTTCCTGATGCATTTAGCAGACACTAAACATTTGTTGTACTCTAAACAAAGTTACAAAGGACTAGAAGAATTCTTGTTCTGTATTTAGAAACCCACTCACATTACTTGATATTTGGGTATTTAAGTCATGAAAGGTATTTCTTCTAGGAAGCAGTGATTCTAAAGTGTATGCTTAACCAGTCAGTTGAGTGTCTACTCTTGTGTGTTCACAAGTGTGCACAAAGTTTTTGGTAAATTAAGAATATTATTTCAAATAAATTAATTTCATCCCCATAGGAGCCAGTTTATCAGATAATTCGTTTCTCATTTCTGCAAATCAATACACAATGAGCTCATATTCAGATAAATTGAGCTCATATCCAGATAAATATAATAGTTTTTCTTTATTTCAACATTGTTCATTGATTGCAACCCATTTCTAAAACAAATTATTTAATATAACCAAACTCCTTTAACTTCTCAACTTTTCCCACTAAAACTGTGAAACATTATATAAAATCTTTAATCAATAGGATATGATACATATTTCATCATTTTGTTTCAGGTTTTGGTTGTGATAAATAACACTGAAAAACCATCCTAATATATGTATTAACTTTATCATTAGAAAAGGGGATTGTTCAAAAAAAAAATCAATACACAGAAACCTTTTTTGAAAATTAAAAACATTAAGAAACTTCTTGTAATTCACAAATAATTGGAATTAAGTAATTTTCTCAGCTTAAGAGTTTGTATTTTTTAAGTGAATATCAGTAATTAATCCATTAACATTGATGCTCTATTTCTGCTTTTAAGTTTGAACTGAGGCTGATTAATGTTCAGTCAATTCTCCTTTGAGCAGGGATTGGTGTCAATCAAAGACAAATCACAACAAGTGATTGTCCAGGGTGTCCATGAGCTCTGTGATCTGGAGGAGACTCCAGTGAGCTGGAAGGATGACACTGAGAGAACAAATCGATTGGTCCTCATTGGTAAGTCTCAAAGGATTCACAGTTTTGAAACAAAGTGAAAAATATATTTGAAAGGGATATCATGTGCCACTTAAACAGATTAACCATTCAGGTCCTCTTTTAAAACTAAATAAGCTTGTGGTCAATGTTTCATCTTTGTCACGTTACAATGTTCGTAAAAGCTTGTTAGGACTTTTGTTCTTCTTCAATTTTAGAAAAGTGGTTAATCCAAGGACCAATGTGACTTTGATGTACTGACCTGGAAAGTTAAAGATGGAATCACTCAATTACTATTCTTTTTGTAAATTTTTAAACACCATAAAGCATTTAATGAACTGGAATTGATAGGTGAACTGTGTCATTTTAATAAGCATAATGTAATCACGTCATATTTTGTTTTGTTTGCAGGCAGAAATTTAGATAAGGATATCCTTAAACAGCTGTTTATAGCTACTGTGACAGAAACAGAAAAGCAGTGGACAACACATTTCAAAGAAGATCAAGTTTGTACATAACACTAGAGGCATTTCTTATCAAAAGGATTGGATAATAAAAATAAGTTTCTACTGGGTATATTTCAAGCATTTATTTATTACTTTAGTTACGAATTCCAATATACTTTAAAATGGTATTTGTTTTACAGCATACATAAAATGTAGCAAATCAGTACTGTAAAACATTTAACATTCATACAATTATATACAATATCCTTTTTTTTAAAGAATGGTATTTCACAAAAATATCTTTTGAAATTGGCTTTGGAGTTTACATATACTGAACATGAAAGTTTATAATAATGATGATACAACTTTCAACATTGTCATTTTTTCTTAGAACTTCAGCTGATTGCAGAGATATAATGATTACATTGTTATTAAATTTTTTTAACACAAGTAAGTGTCACCATTTTATGACATGAAATAAAAGGTTATGACTGTTATTGATGTTGATGTTGACGACCTGATCACCTGGCTGAAGGAGTGTTTGTCAGGTTTCTGCATTGTAAAGTTACTCTTCTCCCCCATTTCATACTGTGCTCTTTGGAAGGAAATCACTATGCACAGCCCACACTAAAGGAATGGGGAGTTGTAGTGTACTTTCTTGGGAGTGGTCTACATAATTAATTGAAATTCTTCTGCAAGGGACAGTTGTCCCTTTCGCTTTATTAGTTCGATCATTTATGTTTATCAGTGTGGACACATGAATATTTTATACTTTGGGTTACAATTTAATACTACTTTATTTTGTTGCTCAAATTATCCCAGCTTTGACCATTGGGAACTCTTTCCGTTATCTCCTGTTCCCCCCTTTGACATACCCCCATCAGTGTGGGTTTTGTGTTTTGTTTTTGAGCGCCTCCTTATTTTTCTCCTGTATTTTTAAATAACCCCAATCCCTATTGAAGCTGGCTCTAGGAAAACTAATACTCCCTTTCCCAGGTCATCCGATTCCTATGCTGATGGAGGAAATTTGCCTCACATGCTGGGGGGCGCTGGGGAGGAGGCGTCTGGGATTATGTGGTTGAATAAGACACCTGGCCTGGCCCTCCTGGAGCTTAGTTTAGTAGGTCACACAAGCAGTCATTGGTAAATTTGGGATTCAAACAAATCTGTTAGGCTCAAACCTGTCTGTTATTTGTCCTCCAAGCTTCATATAAACTGAGGAGCCTTAAAGGGTAAAAACTTCAGGAGCAGCAAAGTTTCAAAAAAAGATCAGCAAGAAAGCTCTTTTCCAGATTTTATCCTGAAGGCACTAGCTACTTTAAGCTATTTTTTATTATATTTTGCCCTTGCAGTTGGCGTTTGATTTCTCACTGAACATTCATTGTCATAATTATAGACACTATGTGACTATCAAGGGCATAATATTCTTTCATGCTGCATTTTTATTAGATGGCACCTCAAAGTTTTCCCAAGTAGGTGGGTTTTAAATTATGAATATATACCGTGGCATAGTATCTTACTTAGTATTTTAATAAGATTCTTATTTATATAACAAATTTTTTTTATTCCTCTGTAGTGCTACTTTAGTCTCTGAGCTAATTTTCATGAAGCCAATCTAAAAATCGTGTTACTTCTAAGGATGTGGAGGGAGTGAGATGAACAGTTGTGCTGTCATATTGCCCCTCCCCAGTGCAGATAGTGAATGAGGACCCACTGATTTAAAGGCAACACTGCAGCCCCTTCTTGCCTCATTGAAGTCCCAAGTTTTATTACAGTAAAAGCACTTAATGTTGACATTTCTGAAAGAATGAAGAGGCTGGGCATGGCGGCTCACGCCGGTAATCCCAGCACTTTAGGAGGCTGAGGCAAGCGGATCATGAGGTCAGGACATCGAGACCATCCTGGCTAACACGGTGAAACCCCGTCTCTACTAAAAATATTAGCCAGGCGTGGTGGCGAGCGCCTGTAGTCCCATCTACTTGGGAGGCTGAGGCAGGAGAATGGCGTGAACCCAGGAGGCGGAGCTTGCAGTGAGCTGAGATCGCCCCACTGCACTCCAGCCTGGGCGACAGAGCGACTCCGTCTCAAAAAAAAAAAAAGAAAAAAAAAAAAAAGAATGAAGAGCCAGAGCCAGGCATAGTGGCACGCCTGTAGTCCCACCTACTCAGGAGGCTGAGGCGGGAGGATCACTTGAGCCCAGGAATTCAAAGCCAGCCTGCGCAACATAGACCCTGTCTCTAAAAATGAATTGGTTATAAAGGATGAAGAAAGGAAGGAGGAAAGGGAGAGAGAGAAGCCCTTATAGAGTGGGTGCATTTCTTGTATGTGGGGCCACTTTGTAAGAACAGGATTTTTCAAACTGGGCCCATACTGGTATGTGTGAAATCAATTTAGTTGGTTATGGCCATTTTTTTTTAAAAGGAAATATCAGTGATCACTATAGTGTAAGTATATTGTTTCGTGAAACCCATCTTAGTTATGTATTATGTCTGTATGTGTGAGATTGTGATATAAAATGTATTTCTGTGGTTAAATATTCAAAGAAATTGGAGAACCATTGCTACAAGGGGACAGAGGACTCCGTGTGAGCTCTCCTGCCTTCCCTGAGTAAACTTACACAATTTAGTGCTGGGACATTTGAGCCTTTTCTGAAAATTTGAGTCAGGGAGAGCATCTTGAGGAGGTGGGAAGGAAGGTAGAAGGAGCAAAGCAACACCCCCCTGAAGCCTGGGAATATTGTCAGAACCTTAAATATAATTCAGCTCACCATTCTGGGTAAGGGCAGACTCTACCAATGAAAATGGGTGATTACCAGCTGTGAAACACAAAAACATACTTTTACGGTTACACATTCCTTTACAAACAACCGTGTACATTTCAGCCTCCTGCCCCACCATTTCTTTTCTCCAGGCGGGAAGGCTGCATGTTGAGGTGGTCATAGAATGTTGAGTATCATACTTTCCTACCTCGCTTTTATTTGCGCGGGTTTAAATGCGCCTTAACAGAACCCGTGCAAAGGCTTGCCAACTGTCTGGCTGCACCGGATGAGTAGAGCATCTTCCTTGGTGGCAGGTGGGTGCGAGGAGGAGGGGGCTGGGCTTTTCTCCGGACGGGTGTTTGCCCAGAAGACCATCATCCCTGGACTACGTTAGGAGGAAGTGGCACCGCTCCGAGGTAGGGGAAGAAGGGTTATAAAGGGGGGAGTCCACCACACATGGTCTTGAAGAAGCTTTTATAAAAGGCAAAGGCATCTTTGCCGGACGTTGTTGCAAAGGAGTAGAAACAAGCAGACGAAAACATCCCAAAGGGTAACCACTAGCGTTCCTGCTTCTTGCAACATTCATCCCAGGCTTCCAGCTCAGCCCGCCCCAGGCTAGGTGATCGGTCGCCACATCCCCTGCGACTGAAGCACCTGCTCCTCCATGAACCTGCCAAGAGCTGAGCGCCTTCGCTCCACACCGCAGCGCAGCCTCCGGGACTCCGATGGGGAAGACGGTAAAATCGATGTCCTGGGAGAGGAGGAAGATGAAGACGAGGTGGAAGACGAGGAGGAGGCGGCGAGCCAGCAGTTCCTAGAGCAGTCGCTCCAGCCGGGGCTGCAGGTGGCCCGGTGGGGCGGGGTTGCGCTTCCCCGAGAGCACATCGAGGGCGGCGGCGGCCCGAGCGACCCCTCAGAGTTTGGCACCAAGTTCAGGGCACCGCCAAGGTCTGCGGCGGCCTCTGAAGATGCCCGGCAGCCGGCAAAGCCCCCCTACTCGTACATCGCGCTCATCACCATGGCCATCCTGCAAAACCCGCACAAGCGCCTCACGCTCAGCGGCATCTGCGCCTTCATTAGTGGCCGCTTCCCCTACTACCGCCGCAAGTTCCCCGCCTGGCAGAACAGCATCCGCCACAACCTCTCGCTGAACGACTGCTTCGTTAAGATCCCCCGCGAGCCGGGCCACCCAGGCAAGGGCAACTACTGGAGCCTGGACCCCGCCTCCCAAGACATGTTCGACAATGGCAGCTTTCTCCGGCGTAGGAAGCGTTTCAAGCGCCACCAACTGACCCCGGGAGCCCACCTGCCCCACCCCTTCCCTCTACCTGCTGCACACGCCGCCCTGCACAACCCCCACCCAGGCCCTCTGCTTGGGGCCCCTGCCCCGCCGCAGCCAGTCCCGGGGGCCTACCCCAACACCGCCCCCGGGAGACGCCCTTACGCTCTGCTGCACCCGCATCCTCTTCGCTACCTACTGCTCTCGGCCCCCGTCTATGCCGGGGCACCGAAGAAAGCAGAAGGCGCGGCCCTGGCGACCCCGGCACCCTTCCCGTGCTGCAGCCCTCACTTGGTCCTCAGCCTTGGGAGGAGGGCAAGGGTCTGGCGTCGCCACCGGGAGGCGGATGCATCTCTTTCAGCATTGAGAGTATTATGCAAGGGGTCAGGGGAGCGGGTACAGGGGCTGCGCAGAGTTTGTCCCCGACCGCGTGGAGCTACTGCCACCTGCTCCAGCGACCATCAAGCCTGTTGCATCCCCAGACCGCTGCCCCTTTGCTGCAAGTGTCCGCCGCCGCCGCTGCTCGGACAATTTTGCAGCAATAGCAGCAGCATCAGGAGGAGGACTGCGCCAACGGCTGCGCTCCCACCAAGGGCGCGGTGCTGGGCGGGCACCTGTCGGCCTCGTCGGCCCTGCTGAGGTATCAGGCAGTGGCAGAGGGCTCTAGGCTGACATCGCTGGCTGCCCCTTTGGGCGGAGAGGGGACCTCACCAGTTTTTTTAGTATCGCCCACGCCCAGTTCCCTGGCCAACTCCGCAGGGCCCTCCTAGAGCCAGGTGGGAGTGGGGAGCGACCCGCAGCTGCTCACTTCACCTTGCGCGGCCCATTCAGGGCGTGTGCATCTGAATCCCGCTGGAGAGCAAACACGAACTTCTGTTCGCTGCAAAATGGTTAGAAAGAAACAGCTGGATTACGTTCCTCTAAAAACCACCTGAACGTAACCTTCGCAGGGCGTCAAGTCATCTTTTCTTGCCTTCGGTTGTGGCTTCTATGGCTGTCCCGATTTGCGCATTTCCTGGGGTACTATGAACGTGAGTGGGGTATTTTGTTCTGGCATTAAAAGAAAAACAAGCAAGCAAACAAAAACACAGCCTCCGATGCCAAACATGTTCCCCCTTCTTCACTTCCTTGGAGCTGGAAGTATTATTCCTAAGTCTAGTGCAAAATGCTTCTACTCTCTGTGTCTTCCTGATAGGGATGTTTAATGTAAGTAGGATATTAATTTCAGAACATTGATTTCTTATCTGTGTGTCTGACGTGCCATCTTTAATGTTAAAATTAAGGTGTTAAAATTAAGCCTAGTTATATAGACGAAATAAAATGCTAAGTCACTACACTACATCGTTTATTTTCTATTACATCTCATTCTTCCCTTTCTAAATGGAACTTTTTAAAACCTACGTTACTTTCCCTCAAACAATTTATTTTCACAATTCATATTTATTATAGATAGCAGAAGTAATCCATTTTAATATGGCCTTTAAAAATTCCAAATATTTGAGGTTGAAAATGTCCTGGCTTTTAAAATAGGAAATTTACTATTTATGAGACTTCTAAAAGAAAAGAATAGGAGGGCATGTAAATATATTCTCCATTTATTTTTCATCACCCCTCAACAAGCTGGAAAACCATTTGAGATCAATTTGGAATGTAGTGGCCAACATGTACTCAGAGAAAATAAAAGGCTATAAATTATATATATATATATATATTTTAAGCACTAGAATTTTCAAAACTTATTTCTTAAAAAAAAAACAACTCTGAAAAGACTTTGCAACTAGAAAGGTTTAAGTGTTACTCGGCGTCAGGGGACGGAGTGGGGGGAAACCAGACAAGAACGCCCATCATGAATTGCTCCCCACAAAGAAAACAAATTTCTAGGAACTTGGCCGTTTTCCCCTGTCCTGAGTGGGGTTCCCGATTCCGTGCCGCTTTGAGGGAAGCTGCTCCGTGAATGTGAGAAAGTTTTTCCCCCAGCCCCCATCTACTCCCCACCCCCAGCTATGAATTTCTTATTTCAGGAGGGAGGACAAACATGGAGACACACATTTTTACAAGAGTCTAATTGGCCGATTTTTCTCCGGCTTCTCTTCTCCATCCCGTCTCTTGGAATTTCTTGGCACGCCCTACCTGAGATCCCCTACGGGAGATTTCCTCTTGGCTCCTGCGGTTCTGAGGACGTTCTGAAAAGTTCCCAAGCCCCACCTTTGGTAGCTGCCCAGACCCCAGCTTCCAATTCTTCCCTCTTCTTTGCACAGGTAGCCGTCAGCCCCATAGCACCACCAGCGTCCAAAATAGACCACTTTTAGCAAATCCGGCAGGGCTGGGGCAGTCTAAGAGTTTGGAAACAAACTGAGAATAGAGGGGTCCTATTTCATGCCAGGTTCTCGCTGGTTTACGGTCCAACTCCCCTCTGTCCGTTGTGCGAAAACGTCTCCAGGCCGACCTTCATTCATTTATTGTCAACAAACGTCCTGGGAGAGCGGCTACAGCCGGCCGCTGAACCCAGAAGGGACTTTCTCTAGGCTTTCTTGGCACCCTCCCAATTATCTTCCTTCTCTTGCCCGAGGGCAGACCAACACAGCTACGAACATGGGTGACTGAGGGTCAGACCCCTTCCCGGAACCGCCTCCAAGCTCCTAATTTTTGCCTAATGTTAAACCATATCCAAAGATGAATATTTAAACAATCAATTCAGTGGCGGAGTAAATTAAACGTTATTCTCCGATCAAACAGGAGCTTCGGGTCCACCTGTTTGGAAGCACCCAGGCAGCTTGGAGAGGTCCGGCCTTCGGGTGCGACCCGCAGGGGTTGCCCTGCCCGGCTCGCGGAACGGACGTTTACCTGTCGCAGCTACGAACCCACCAACGACACCAAGCACTTGCCGGGCAGACCAGGCGTCGTGGAGGCGCCCCAGCCCCCCCACCCCCCCCGCAACGACGCGTCCCAGGGGTGCGTAGTGCTTGGCGCGGTGACCAGACCTGGCCGCCTTCCTGACTGCACAGAGCAAGAGGCCACACTCTGGATCCCAGGCCGGGTCCCTGTGGTTCTGGGAGGGAGGTCCCGGATGCCTCCCAGATCTCGGGCTTCTGTAACCCTGAGGCTGGGTTTTAAAATCACGGCTCTTCCAAGTTACACGAAGAGTCCATGGTCAAGGGTCAAGGGTGGTCTTCGACCCTCGGGGTCGTCTTCTTGAGAAATGGCTGAGAGCTAAGCCTAGAGCTGCCCAGGGAAGGAAGCCAAAGAGCTGGAGCCGAGCGCGAAGGGCTGGGAGGCGCGGGGAGGCCCCTTACCCCCGCCCGCCCCCCACACTGTCCTGGCCGCTAATAACGCTGATAATAGTAACAGTATCGGCCAACTGTTTCCCCCCTGCTCCTGGTCTGCCAGGCACCGGATCCTCCTTTAGCACTCCCAGCACTCACTGAAGAAGACACTATGGAATTCTCCGTTTTCCAGACTAGAAATAAGTAACTCGGAGAAATTAAGAAACTCGCCCGACGACCCTCAGGCAGTAGCACCTGGCCAGGTTTGCTTTCTGAACCACTAACTCCACTCGCGCACGCCACCTTTCCTGCCTGGGCCTCTTGCGGGTCGCAGGGGTGGAAGCCTGACCTGGGCCAGGGCCCGGATTTCTTCCTCCTGGCCTCTGTCCCACCGCCCCCGGTGCCAGGAAGCGCTTTTCTCTCCCCGAGACCCAGAGGCGCCGAAAGACTCGCGCGGTCAGTTCCCTACCCCACGCCCTGGGCTGTGCGTTTTCTTGCAAGCCTCTGCCGAGTGCGGGGAACGGCGCCGCCAGACTCCCCCAGACCGCGCTCCGGCTCACGCCTGACTAGAGCACTCTGCTTCACAGAGGGGCGTTCTGCGCGTTCTTCCTCCCTGGTGTGATTTTCGTTCTTTTTCCTCTCATGGTCCCCAAGAACCCAGGCACCCCTCGACGTAGGTGCCGGCGGTACCGGGAATCCCTCCCCTGGACTCCCTGCGGGCCCGAAGCCACCTTCTAATCCCAGCCGCCTTCCCAAGGCGGCGGAGGTGGGCAGCTCCGGGCTCCGCGCCGCCCCGCGAAGCCGGAATTTCTCTTCGGAGTCTTGATACAGCTCTCCACTTCGTCGCCCCGCACTGGATCCTGGTAGCGTGAAACTTGCCCAGGAAGCTGGGCTGCGCTGGCCTGGGGTGAAGGTCCAAGAGACGAGGAGGCCGGGACGCGGGGCTGTCGCAACGACTGGCCCTCTGCGAACCCTCAGGCCAGCAGGTTCGGGACTATAGGAGTGGGAGTGGAGGTGGTGGCCACTGGAGAGTAGAGAGAACGTCCAGGAACCGGTGGACTAGGGGTCCCCGGCGGCTGGCCGAGGGTTGCAAGCAGAGGGGACTATCGGTTGCCAGGAAGTCCCAAGCAGATGCCTTCTGGCAGGGCAGTCACATTCTACAGTGCCGATTCTGTGTACATTGAGTATCCAAAATGAATAAAATCTGTTTATACATTGGAATGTAGCTTATGATTCCAAAATCTCATCTCCAGGCTGCCTAGATCACACGGCCCCGTTTCATTCATTTTTACTTAATAACGGTCGTTAGACAATTTAGAGAAACAGCAGAAACCACGAGAAAAATAATGGAATCAAACGGCGATAAGGACTAACAAGGCTGGCGGGGAGATTTAGCAAATGGTGGCTTCTGAGAGTTTGCACCAGTCCTTCACCACATTTTATTGGAAGTGTGGAGAGTCATGATTCTCATTCCTCCCCAGCCTTCCGGAAAAATGCTCAGAAATTTCTTTCCACATTGACACCTGATTACAGTCTAAATAGTAACCTTATTCTGATTGTTAATGTAACCTTCTCGTAATTTCTACAAAAATACTTTAGTTTTTCTAGCTGTGTTTTCATGTAATCACTGAAATTATTTTTAATTGGTTTTAAGCATTCATTGATTCCATATACACCACCTGCAAAAAGGTTACATAGGTGATCGCTAACAATACTAGAATTCGCCCCATCCAAAGGAAACATTAGAGTAGAAAAAGAAAAAGGATTTGAGAATCCAGTATGAAATTCAGTTAATCATTACTTCCCTGTTACTCAACTACCTTAACATTGTCAGGTTTACCTGAACATAAACTTCATTTTCTTAGTTGTTCTTAGAACGAAGGGATATGTTTATTGAAATCAGTAATTAAGAATATTTTGGGACAGTTATGATTTACTTAGCCAGTGAAGCAGTTTCTATTCCCAAATCCAGGCAAAGAGAACAATAAGATTAAACGTAGCCTAAGAGATTTCCTTTTTGTCAAATAATGTGATTTTGCTATGTATAGAGGAGATGTCTATATGTAAGGGCATATTTATGACCAGTAGTTCCTAAAATTAAGGGGACTATTATTGTGTTACTCAAGGTATCAGTTGTATAGGATACATTATGTCATATTTCAAACAATGTTTATAAAGAGATTAGTATAATTAACCTGTATGTACTTCTCCTCTGGGCCAACCTTGTGTCTTCTTTATCTGCTGACAGTCCCCTCCCCACTGAATTATTTTGAATCAAATCCCAGATAGTCTATCATTGTATTGTATTTTTGAATATTTCTCTAAAAGATAATAATTCCATCAATGAGACTGGATGCAGTGGCTCCTCCCTGTAATCCCAGCTCTTTGGGAGGCAGAGGTTGGAGGATCACTTTAGGCCAGGAGTTCAAGACCACCCTGAGCAACACAGCAAGACCCCATTTATAAAAAAGAAGATTCCCATCAATGTAACCACAATACCATTATCACACCTAAATAATCCATTAATAGCATCGGTTTATCCAGGCAATATTTAAATATCTTCAATTGTCTAAAAACTTTTTGTTTAGTTGGTTGGTTTGAATTAGAATGCTAATAAGGGTTACGTATTGTGTTTGGTTGATATGGGCTATTATATCTCTTTTAGATTTCCTCAATCCTCTTTTTTTGTTTCCCTTGCATTTTTTATGGGAGAAACTGAACTGTTTGTTCTGAAGAAGTTGACATTCTGGACTTTGTAGCTGCAGGTAATAGTTTTTTGGCAAGATATTCCCAGGGATAAGGTCGTTTATTCAGACTTTTGAATATTGGCAAATAATAATATTGTTTGTAGAGGGAGAAGGATTAGTCAAGATATTTTTAAGAATCAACTATTGAAAAAACAAATTTTTATCAGAGTAAGCATGGATCTGGTAAAGATTATGTGAAATTTTCCTAAATGCAAATACAATCTAAAATTGTAATGTCTTACAATTAAAAAATAGATTATTTTCCATATATTTATAGAAATATAAATGATCAATCAACTATTTCACTGACAATTTTAAATCTAGTTTTATCTTGAGGAGAATAAAGTTTTTTATATCTTTAGTATTTTAGTTGAAGATCCAAAGACATTTTATGTTAAAACTTTAGGTTTTATATTGTTTTGTGTTTTAAAACATAAAATCTAAAATGTGGTAATATCCATGAGGTGCAGATAGAGTAATAGCACAAATTCTGTGTTCATGAAAATTCATTTTAGGATAACTTAATTAAAAGGACTCAGGATTTGAATGATATTAGATTAGACAGAAAAAAGTTCACCTGAGTGTAAGACATAAGTAATAAAAACCAAAGGTAGCTAACTTTTTTAGGCTTCTTCTTTCTTTAAAGAGTATGCATATGAAATAAAATTTCCATGTCAATGTCCATTTTTCCATGGTACATAGGGCTTCTATAATTTCGTCTATTTCATCCTGCAGTTATTTTCACGGGTTTCTGTGTCCACCACTATCTGGAATCTCTGAGATGGTGAAAACGAAATCTTATTCTTCTTTATATTTCAAACAATTCCTAGCACATTATCAAAAATACCTGATAAAATTTATTGTGTCTGTAATACTGGTAAGCATTACCACCCTTTTGGGTGGTAAATATATAGGCTTTAAGTTTAGATAGATCTAAATATTATTAAAATTACCAAATTATTGTTTTTAAAAAGTATTAGTTTCCTAGGACAAATAGAGATTTTTCGATAAGGCTGGATTTGTAATACTTTAAGCAACAGGTCACAGTGCTTAAGTATTTAATGCCGATTTGGCAAGCAGCTGATGTTTTACATAATGCTGTCGGGTATTTTATATTTGCGTGTATTTTCTGATGCACTGGATCCAGCACTTCATGTCACGTCATATATCTGTTTATAATATATACAAATGTATTTTCATATATATTTGATGTTTGATGGCTTTGAAACTTTAATCTTGAAATAGATTTTAAATTTTTATTAAAACTATTTAAATAATTACCGTAAGGAAAGAGCTCTTATTAGTTGAAAGAAAATGTAGATTCATGTTTCCTTGGAGACTAGTCTAGTTTCCAAGGATAGACGGCAGTGAGGAGTTGGGTATCTAGATGGAATTTCTGTTGGTTTGGATTCCAGCTCTGCTGCTTACCAGCTTTGTGACCTCAAGCAAACAACTTAACCTCTCCAAGCCTCAATTTCCCCATCTATATAATGGTGATATTTATAAGTTTCACCTTATAGGGCCATGGTGGGGATCACATGAAATAGTGTATGTGAAGTGCTTAGCACAGTGCCTGGCACATACTCAATGCTCTATGCATGTCAGCTAGTACTTAATGATGCTAATAAACATGTTGTGTCCCTAAGCACGGGTGGAATCTTGCCTGACGTCCTTCTCTCTGCGTCCTGGTCAGTCTTCACATGGTGGGCCTCCTTTATTTCCGGTCACACACGGGTGGTACACAGAGCATGCTGTTTCTTTCCTGCCAGAAGGTTCCTGCTGCAGCTCTCCTGCTAGTTTAGCTTAGCCTTCTGGTTTGAGGGATGAGTCACATGTACCATCACTTCCCAGGACCAACAGGACCTTTCAGGAAAGCTATCCCTGCTTACACAGAGAATTGCCCTTGCCTAACACTGAAGCCTGGCAGAGTAACATGAAATAACCACAGCAATTCTAAAATTAGAATTAGCATGCCTAGAATAACAGGTATAACCTTCTCTTGTACTTTATCACTTGCTTCATTTCTGCTCAGCCTAATTTTCACTTGATGTGTAGATTTATTTTTTGTTCACCCATCCAGAAAATGTTGACTGAGGAATTACTCTGTGTTAGGTGCTGTTGTAGGAGCAAGGGATACAATGATGATCAAGGCAGATGCAGCCGTTACCTTCAGGTTGTGGAGTCCGGATACAGACTGGAGGCAGGCAGCTGTAAGATGTGTGAGAAATGCTGCGCTGGATCAGCCCATGGTATTAGGAGAGCAGGTAAGGAAGGGTGGGGACAGGAGCGGACAACCTGGAGGAAGAGGCACCTAAGCAGAGTCCGGAAGGCTGAGGAGGAGTCAGCAGGTAAAAGAGAGGGGAATCATGACATGCCATCTCAACTGTAGGGCACGGCTAGCTGGCTGACTTAGCTGCTGTAACACCGGATTTTTGCAAGACTCCCTGAGTATTTCTCGTGGACTTGCGAACAAATCTGAGCAAGAAAACCACGTAATTTCTTTTATGCCTTCCCCAAGAAAGCCACCTGGAGGGGCAAGGGGACCTTAGCAGAAAGAAGCTGGAGGTGGGGGGAGAACAGGGTGATATTACTCTCCATATGGTGGGGGGTGGACACCTCCCTGTCATATGGCTCGTAATATCCAGCGGGGGAGAGGGGGTTGACTTTCCCCTACGTTATTGGTAATATCACCCCCCTCTCTCCCGCTAAATATTAAGTACAATATCACAGGTGGGGTGTACACCCCCGGCGATGTTTGAAGTAATATCAACTTCTCCCCCTCTGGATGTTAGAAACAATATCACAGGGGGGTGTACACCCCCCTGCGATCCTGGAAGTAACATCATCCTCTTTCCCCCGGATATTAGGAACAATATCACGGGGAGGGGGGTGCACACCCCCTGCGATATTGAAAGTCATATCATCTTCTTTCTCCCCGGATATTAGGAACAATATCACAGAAGGTGTTTACAACTTTTGCAATGTTGGGAGTAATATCATCCTCTCTCACCCTAGATATTCAGAACAACATCACATGGGAATTGTACCCTTCTGTTTATTGAGAGTAATATCATCCTCTCCCTTTCTGTATATTAGAAACAATATCACAGAGGGCTGTGTACACCCCCAGGAATGTTTTGAGTAATATTATCCTCTCTCTGCCTGGATATTTGGAACAATATGACAGGAGTTGTGTACACCCACTGTGATATTCGGTTTAATATCAACTTCTATCCCCTGGATATTGGGAGTAATATCTATCTTTAGCCCCTGGATACTAGGGACAATATCACAGGAGGGGTGTATACACACGGCGCTATTGGGAGTAATATCATTTTCTCCACCCCTTGATATTAGGTACAATATAACAGTGGGGATGTGTACCCCCTGGGATATTGGGAGTAATATTAATCTCTTCCCCTGTGGATGTTAGGAACAATATCACAGAAGGGGTGTATACCCCCAGCGATATTGGGAGTAAGATCATCCTCTCCCAACTTGGATATTAGGAATAATATCACAGGGGAAGTGTATAACCCCTGCGATATTGTGAGTAATATCATCCTCTCCCAAAATGGAGATTAGGAACAATATCACAGGAAAGGTGTACACCTCTTCTGATATTTGTGGTAATATCATCTCCTCCCCTCATTGATATTAGGAAAGATATCACAAGGTGTGTACAGCCCCTGCGATATTGGGAGTAATATTATTCTCTCTTCCCCTGGATATTAGAAATAATATCACAGGCGGAGTGTACAGCAAACCCCCTGCGATATTGGGGGTAATATCATCCTCTTTTAACCTGGATATTAGGAACAATATCACAGGGGGCTTGTACACTTCTTTTGACACTGGGAGTAATATCATCCTCTCCACAAGTAAATAGTAGGAAAAATATCAAAGAAGGTGTGTACACCGCTTGTGATATTGGGAGTAATATCATCCTACCTCACCTGGATGTTAGAAAAAATATCGGGGGGCGTTTACACCACCTGCGATATTGGGAGTAATATGATTTTCTACCCCAGCGGATATTTAGAACAATATCACAGGGGCAGTGTACACCCTCTGAGATATTGCGAGTAATATCGTTCTCACCCCGCCGCCCCCACCCCAGATATTAGGAACAATGTAACAGGCAGATTATACACCTGCTGCAACATTGAAAGTAATATCATCCTTTTCCCCCTGGATATTAGGAACAATATCTTATGGGGGGTTTACAGCCCATTCCATTTTGGGAGTAATATCAACTTCTTCATTGCTGGAAATAAGAAACAATATAGCAGTTCTGGTGTACACACCCTGTGATATGGGCAGTAATATCATAGACTCTCCCCCGGCATATTAGGAACAATATCAGAAAGGGGTGTATACCCACAGCGATTTTGGGATTAATATCATACTCTCCCCCCTGGATATTAGGAACCATATCAAAGAAGGAGTGTCTACCCCTTGCGATAGTGACAGTAATATCATCTTCTCCCTCCCTGGATATTAAGAACAATACCACAGAATTGGCGTACACCCACTACGATCATGGGAGTAATGTCATCCTCTAACCCCTGGATATTAAAAACAATATCACAGAGGAAGTGTACACCCCTCGCGATATGGCCAGTAACATCATCGTCTCCTCCACTGCGTATTAGGAACAATATCAAAGGGGTGTGTACACCTCCTGCGCTATTGGGAGTAATGTCATTCTCTTTTCCCCTGAATATGAGGAATAATATCACTGATGGGGTGTACAACTCCTACGATATAGGCAGTAATATCATCCTCTCCCAACCTGGATATTAGGAACAAAATAACAGGACATCTACACCCCCTGCGATACTGGGAATAATATCATCCTCTCTCCCACTTAATATTAGAAACCGTATCCCAGGAAGAGTGTAAACCCTCTGAGATATTGAGAGTAATATCATCCACTCCCTACCTAAATATTAAAAACAATGTCACGGGAGGGATGTACACCCCTACAATATTGGGAGTAATATCATCCTCTCCCTCCCGAGATATTAGAAACAATATAAAAGGGGTCGCGTACACCCCCTGTGATATTGGGAGTAATATCATTCTAATCCCCCCTGGATATTAGGAAGAATATTATACAGGGGATGTACACCCCTTGACATATTGTGAGTCATATCATTTCTCTTCCCTTGGACAATAGGGACAACATCACGGAGGGGGGTTGTCCCCTGTTATATTGAAATTATTATCATCCTCTCCCAAACTGAATATTAAAAACAACGTCACGGGGCTGCTGTGACCCCAGTAATATGGACAGTACTATCATTGTCTCCCTCCCTAAATATTAAGAACAGTATCACAAGAGAGGTGTACACCCCCTGCGATATGGCCAGTAATATCATCGTCTCTACCTTTGGATACTAGGAACAACATCACAGAGGGTGTGTACACCCCCTGCGATATTGGGCATAATGTTAGCCTCTCTTCCCCTGGACATAAGGAACAATATCCCTGGTCGGGGGAGGTGGAGTACATTAAGAACAATATCTGAAGGAGGTGGGTGTACACCCCCTGAGATATTGGGTGTAGTATCATCCTCTCTTTCCTAGGATATTAAGAACAATATCACAGGAGGTGTGTACAGCCCCTGCGATATTGGGAATAATATTACCCTATCCCCCTCTCGATATAAGGAACAATATCCCAGGGTGGGTGTACATCCCCTGCGATATTGGGCGTAATGTCATCATCTCCCAACGTGGATATTGGGAATAATGTCCCAGGGGGGTGTACACCTTCTTCGATATTGGGAGTAGTATCGTCCTCTCCCCTCGGGATTGTAGGCAAAATATGGAAGGGGTTTTACAGCTCATGCGATATGGGCAGTAATATCATCCTCTCCACCTAGATATTAGGAACTATATCACAGGCGGCTGTACACTTGTTACGATATTGGGAGTAATATCATCCTCTCCCATCATGGATATTAAGAACAATATTCCAAAGGAGGTGTACACCCCCTGCGATACTGAGAGTAATATGCTCTCCCCTTCGGGATATTAGGAACAATATCGCAGGAGGTGTGTACAACCCCTGTGATATTGGGAGTGATATCGCCTTCTCCCCCTGAATATAAGGAACAATGTCACAGGAGGATGTACACCCCCTGGGATATTGGGAGTAATATGATTTTCTCCCCCTCGAGATATTCGGAACAATATCACAATGGGTGTGTATAGCCGCTGCGACATTGCCACTGGTATCATCCTCTCCCTCCCAGGATATAAGGAACAATGTCACAAGGGGTGTACACCCCCTGCGATATTGGGGGTAATATCTTCCCCTCCCCCGCTGGCCATTAGGAACAATGTCACAGAAGAGGTGTCCACTCCCTGCTACATTGGGAGTGAGATCATCCTCTCTGTCCCTGGATATTAGGAACAATATCCCTAGGGAGTGTACACCTCCTGCAATATTGAGACTAACATCATCCTCTTGCCCCCTGGATATTAGGATCAATATCACAGGGGTGGTGTACATCCCCTGCGAAACTGGAAGAAATATCATCCTCTCCACCTTTGGATGATAGGGACAATATCACGGGGGAAGTCTACGCCCCCTGCGGTATTGGGAGTCATATCATCCTCTCCCACCCACGATATTAGGAAAAAAGATGACCGAAGGGATGTATACACACTGCGATATTTTTCATAATGTCATCCTCTACTCCCTGGCAATTAGGAATAACATCATAGAGGGGTGTACACTTTCTGTGATATTGGGAGTAACATCCTCTAC
The DNA here is from genome assembly GCF_000001405.40 of Homo sapiens. Classification (NCBI taxonomy): domain Eukaryota; kingdom Metazoa; phylum Chordata; class Mammalia; order Primates; family Hominidae; genus Homo; species Homo sapiens. The sequence continues at coordinate 41,114,978 of NC_000009.12, read as the reverse complement.
CCCTCGGATATCGGGAACAATTGTATTAAGTATTAATATTCATAAATATAATAACAATTAATAGAAATCATCGATATAAATAATTACTATAAAGATAGTAAAAGTTAATACGGATTAAAAATATTAATGTTTACTATTAATAATTAACAGCAACCTCACTATTAATAATAACATAATGATATCGGTAATTAATGTTACTTAATTAAATCAATAAGTGATGTTGGTAATAAAACAATAATTAATATTAAGGTTAATAACGAATATTGAAAAATGACAATACTAATAATTAATTTTAACCATGCATAATCATATTTAAAATAATCATTAATGATTAATAACGTTATACTATTAATTAATATTACCATTGATAATTATTAAGACTGATGTTTAATAATTAGTAATATTATTAAGACTGATGCTTAATAATTAATCATATTATTTCTCCTAATACCGTAGGGGGTGTACACCTACCTGTGATATTGTTCCTAATATCCAGGGATGGAGAGCATGATATTAGTTTTAATACCTCAGTAGGTGTACACTCACCCTGTGACACTGATCCTAATATCCAGGGGATAGAGCATGACATGACTCCCAACATAGCAATGAATGTACAGCCACCCGGTGATATTGCTCCTAATATTCACGGAAGAAGAGTATGATATTACTCCCAATATCGCAGGGAGTGTACACCTCTTCTGTGACATTGTTCCTGGTATCCCGCCGGGGAGAGGATGATAAAAATTAAGTATCGCAGGCTGTGTTCACTCACCCTGTGATATTGTTATAAATATCCTGAAAGGGAGAGGACGATATTACTTCCTATAACAGATAGATATTACTCCCCATAATAGAGCAGGAGGTGTACACCCACCGTGTGATACTGTTCCTAATATTCAGAGGCAGAGAGGTCGATATTACTCTCAATATCGCAGGAAGTGTACACCCCCGTGTGAGATGGTCCTTAATAATATTCCAAGGCAGAGGGGGTGATATTACTACATTTATCGCAGAAAGTGTACACCCCCCCCAGGGATGTTGTTCCCATGATCCTGGAGAGAAGAGGATGATATTAGTTTAAATATGACAGAAGGTGTACACGCCCCAACTGATATTGTTTCTAATTTCAGTGTGGGAGAGGAGGATATGACACCCAATATCGCAGGGAGTAGAAACACACCTGTGATACGGTTCTTAATATTCAGGGTGGAAGAGGATGATATTACTCTCAATACAGACGGGTGTACAACCTGCACACCGAGGGTGTACACCCATCTGTCAAACAGCACATAATTTCCAGAGGGGGAGATATTACCCCCAATATAGTAAACAGGCTGTGAGTCCACCGTGGATCGTAATAACTCGGGGGGGGAGAGGAGGTGGCTCTTACTCCCCATATCGCGGGGGGTGCCTCACCCCACTGCGAGGTGGATCATAATAGCGAGGGGGGGGAGAAGGGGTGGCTGTTACTACCCATATCGCGGAGGGTGCCTCACCCCCGACATGTGGATCGTAATAAATAGCCGGGGGGTGGGGGAAGGGGGTGGCTCTTACTCCCCATATCTCAGGGGGTGCCTCACACCCCTGCAATGTGGATCATAATAAATAGCTGGGGGGGAAAGGGGGTGGCCCTTACTCCCCATACCGCGGGGGGTGCCTCAACCCCTGCGATGTGACCTGTGTCCGTTGTGAGCATTCTCTTTTTTCCTGCTATTAGGAACAATTTCACAGAGTGTGTGTACACAGCCTGCGATATGAAAACTAATATCCTCTGCACCTCCGCATATACGGACCATATCACACAATGGGTGTACACTTTTTGCGGCATTTGGGGTCATGTCATCCTGTGTTTCCCTAAATAGTCGGGGAAATATCACAGGCCTATTCGGAGGCACATCCTACTTTTGCTACTGGAAATTAGGATTAATATCTCAGATGGGGTGTAAAGCCGCTGTCATATTTGAAGTAATATCATGCTCTCCCCCACTAGTTGTGACGCACAGTATCACAGGGGGTATATACCTTCTGCGGTATTGGGAGTAATATCATCATCTCTTCCTTTACATGATAGGAACAACATCAGAGTCGGGGTGTACACCCCGTGTGTTTTTGAAAGCAATGTCATTCACTCTTCTTCTAGATTTTACGATTCATATCACAGGCGGGGTGTGCACCCCTTCTTATATTGGGAGTCATCGGATCCTTTTTCAAGCTGTATATTTAGAACAATATCCCATGGGGCTGTACATGTCTTCGATACTGGTCGTAATATCATCTTGTCCTTTCCTGGATACAAGAAAAAATATCACAGACGAGGTGTACACCCCTTGTAATATTGGGAGTAATATCACCTCTCCCCATGTGGTTATTAAGGACAAAATCACAGGGTGGTGTACAGTTCCTACTTTATTGAGAGTAATATCATCCACTCACCCCCTGGATATCAGGAGCCATATCACAGAAGAGTTGTACACCCCCTTCGATATTGTCAGCAATATCACCGTCTTCCCACCTAGATATTAGGAACAATACCCCGGGGGGGCTTGGGGGTGTACACCCACTGCGAGATCCAGAGTAATATCAGCCTTTTCCCGCTGGATATTAGGAAGTATATCACAGGTGTGTGTGCATCTTCTGCAATATTGGGAGTAATATCAGCCTCTACCCCGCTGCATATTAGGAACAATATACGGGGGGCGTGGGGGTTACACTCCCTGCGATATTGAGAGTAATGTTATTCTCTTCTCCCTGTACATTAGGAACCATTTCCGGGGTCGTGGGGGTTACGCTCCCTGCGATATTGAGAGTAATGTTATTCTCTTCTCCCTGTACATTAGGAACTATATCACGGGGTCTGTACACCTTCTGCCATGTTGGGATTAATGTAATCCTCTCCCCCCACTGAATATCAAAAACAATATCACAGACGGGCGTACACCCTCTGCGATATGGCCAGTAATATCATCGTCTCTACCTTTGGATACTAGGAACAACATCACAGAGGTTGTGTACACCCCCTGCGATATTGGGCGTGATATTAGCCTCTCTTCCCCTGGATATGAGGAACAACATCCCTGGTCAGGGGAGGTGGAGTACATTAAGAACAATATCTGAAGGAGGTGGGTGTACACCCCCTGAGATATTGGGTGTAGTATCATCCTCTCTTTCCTAGGATACTAAGAACAATATCACAGGAGGGGTGTACAGCCCCTGCGATATTGGGAGTAATATCATCCCCTCCCCCTCTCTATATAAGGAACAATATCCCGGGGTGGGTGTACATCCCCTGCGATATTGGGCGTAATGTCATCGTCTCCCAACGTGGATATTGGCAATAATGTCCCAGGGGGTTGTACACCTTCTTCGATATTGGGAGTAGTATCGTCCTCTCCCCTCGGGATTGTAGGCAAAATATGGAAGGGGTTTTACAACTCATGCGATATGGGCAGTAATATCATCCTCTCTCCACCTAGATATTAGGAACTATATCACAGGCGGCTGTACACTTCTTGCGATATTGGGAGTAATATCATCCTCTCCCATCATGGATATTAAGAACAATATTACCAAAGAGGTGTACACCCCCTGCGATATTGACAGTAATATTTGGCTCTCCCCTTCGGGATATTAGGAACAATATCGCAGGAGGTGTGCACAACCCCTGCGATATTGGGAGTCATATCATCCTCTCCCCCTGAATATAAGAAACAATATCACGGGAGGATGTACACCCCGTGCGATATTGGGAGTAATATCATTTTCTCCCCCTCGGGATATTCGGAACAATATCACAGTGGGTGTGTACAGCCGCTGCGACATTGCCACCAGTATCATCCTCTCCCTCCCAGGATATAAGGAACAATGTCACAAGGGGGCGCACACCCCCTGCGATATTGGGGGTAATATCTTCCTCTGCCCCGCTGGCTATTAGGAACAATGTCACAGAAGGGGTGTCCACTCCCTGCTATATTGGGAATGAGATCTTCCTCTCCATCCCTGAGTATTAGGAACAATATCCCTAGGGAGTGTACACCTCCTGCAATAGTGAGACTAAGATCATCCTCTCGCCCCCTGGATATTAGGATCAATATCATAGGGGTGGTGTACACCCCCTGCGAAATTGGAAGAAATATCATCCTCTCCACCTTTGGACGTTAGGGACAGTATCACGGGGGATGTCTACGCCCCCTGCGATATTGGGAGTCATATCATCCGCTCCCACCCAGGACATTAGGAACAAGATGACTGAACGGAGGTACACCCGCAGCGACATTTTCAATAATGTCATCCTCTACGTCCTGGCAATTAGGAGAAACATCATAGAGGGGTGTACACTTTCAGCGACATCGGGAGTAATATCCTCTCCCCCACAGATATCGGGAACAGTTATATTAATTATTAATATTAATAAATATATTAATAATTAATAGTAATCATCGATATTAATAATTGCAATAGAGATAGTAAAAGTGAATATGGATAAAAATATTAACAATTACTATTAATAATAGCAATATCACTATTAATAATAAAATAATGATATTATTAATCAATGTTACATAAATCAGTCATAAGTGATGTTGGTAATAAAACAATAATTAATATTAAGATTAATAACTAATATTATTGAAAAATGACATTAATACAGATAATTTTAATCATGCATAATTGTACATTTAAAATAATCATTAATGATTAATAACGTTATACTATTAATTAATATTACCATTGATAATTATTAAGACTGATGTTTAACAATTAATAATATTATTAAGATTGATGCTTAATAATTAATCGTATTATTTCTCCTAATACCGCAGGGGGTGTACACCTACCCGTGATATTGTTCCTAATATCCAGGGATGGAGAGCATGATATTAGTTTTAATATCTCAGTAGGTGTACACTCACCCTGTGACACTGATCCTAATATCCAGGGAGTAGAGTATGACATGACTCCCAACATAGCAATGAATGTACAGCCACCCGGTGATATTGCTCCTAGTATTCACGGAAGAAGCGTAGGATATTACTTCCAAAATCGCAGGGAGTGTACACCTCTTCTGTGATATTGTTCCTGGTATCCCGAGGGGGAGAGGATGATAATAATTCCAGTATCGCAGGCTGTGATCACCCACCCTGTGATATTGTTATTAACATCCTGAAAGGGAGAGGATGATATTACTCCCCGTAATAGATAGATATTACTCCCCATAACAGAGCAGGAGGTGTACACCCACCCTGTGATATTGTTCCTAATATTCAGAGGCCGAGAGGTCGATATTACTCCCAATATGGCAGGAAGTGTACACCCCCGTGTGAGATGGTCCTTAATAATATTCCAAGGCGGAGGGGGAGATATTACTCCCAAAATCGCAGAAAGTGTACACCCCCAGGGATATTGTTCTCATGATCCTGGAGGGAAGAGGATGATATCACTTTAAATATCACAGAAGGTGTGCACGCCCCCACTGATATCGGTTCTAATTTCCACGTGGGAGAGGAGGATGTGACGCCCAATCACACCTGCAGTAGAAACACAGCTGTGATACTGTTCTTAATATTCAGGGAGGAAGACGATGATATTACTCCCAAAACAGACGGCTGTACACCCTCTGCACACCGAGGGTCTACCCCCATCTGTGAAATAGTTTATAATTTCCAGAGGGGGAGATGATATCACTCCGAATATCGTAAACAGGCTGTGAGTCCACCGCGGATCCTAAAAACCAGGGAGGGAAGAGGGGCTGGCACTTACTCCCCGCATCGCGGGGGGTGTCTCAACCCCTTGCGATGGGGGTCCTAAGAGCCAGGGGGGGAAGAGGGGCTGGCTATTACACCCCGCATCAAGGGGGGTCCCGTCGATGGGGGTCCTAAGAGCTAGTGGGGTAAGAGGGCCTGGCTCTTATTCCCCGACTCGCGAGGGATGCCTCCCCCCTCTGCTATGGGGGTCCCAAGAGCCACGGGGGAAGAGGGGCTGCCTCTCAGTCCCCGCCTCGCGGGGGGTGCCTCCTCCTCCTGCGATGGGGGTCCTAAGAGCCAGGGGGGGAAAGGAGCTGGCTCGCAGTCCCTGTCTCGCGGGGGGTGCCTCCCCCAACTGCGATGGGGGTCCTAAGAGCCGGGGGGGGGGAAGAGGGGCTGGCTCTCAGTCCCCGCCTCGCGGGAGGTGCCTCCCCCCACTGCGATGGGGGTCCCAAGAGCCAGGGAGGGAAGAGGGGCTGGCTCTCAGTCCCCGCCTCGCGGGAGGTGCCTCCACCCCTTCCCATGGGGGTCCCAAGACCGAGGGAGGGGAGAGGGGCTGGCTCTCAGTCCCCTCCTCCCGGGGGTACCTCCTCCGCCTGCGATGGGGGTCCCAAGAGACAGGGGGGGAAGAGGGGCTGGCTCTCAGTCCACGCCTCGTGGGGGATGCCTCCCCCCCCTGCGATTGGGGTCCCAACAGCCAGCGGGGGAAGAGGGGCTGGTTCTCAGTCCCCGCCTCGCGGGGGATGCCTCCCCGTGCTGCGATGGGGGTCCTAAAAGCCAGGGGGTGAAAAGGGGCTGGCTCTCAGTCCCCACCTCGCGAGGGGTGCCTCTCCCCCCTGCGATAGGTGTCCTAATAGCCAGGGGGGGAAGAGGGGCTGGCTCTCAGTCCCTGCCTCGCGGGTGGTCCTTCACCCCGCTGCGATGGGGGTCCTAAGAGCAAGGGGGGGAAGTGGGGCTGGCTCTCTGTCCCCGCCTCGCCGGGGGTGCCTCGCACCCTTGCGATGGGGGTCCTAAGAGCCAGTAGGGGAAGAGGAGCTGGCTCTCAGTCACCACAGCATGGGGGGCCTTTCTGTTCTGGTTTTGCCCAAGAGTAAGCTTATTTGCATCTGGTTCTAGCAAGGGAATTGCTGCGAAGGCCCTCAAACAGGGGGGCCATCCTTTCGAATCCCTATCTAGTTGTTTAGAGATGTAGGCCACCGGCCTCAGCCAAGGCCCCACAGTTTGGGTTAAAAGTCCAGCTGCCATCTTTTCTCTCTGACGCATACAATGGAAAAGGCTTTGTGAGATCGGGTAGCCCCTCGGCTGGGGCTTTCAGAAGTTTTTCCTTTAAGTCATGAAAGACTTGCTGTTGTTGGAATCCCCATTCCAAAAGTTCCCGGTCCCCGCCCCCATTGTGACCTCATACAAAGGCTTGGCTAATACTGCAAAGTTTGGGATTCCCAGTCTACAAAACCCCACAGCTCCTAGGAATTCTCTCACCACCCTTGTGCCTTTAGGCTTCGGTAGATTGCAAATGACCTGCTTTCTTTCGGATCCCGGGCTGCTTTCGGACACCTGTCGAATAGTAAATCCCAAGTAAGGTACCTGCGGTCGTCGGCAGATCTGAATTTTCTTCTTGGACACCTAATACCCACAGTCCTCCAGGTCGGTCCTAAGGATCTTAGAATCCGCGATGGGGGTCCTAAGCCACGGGAGGAAGAGGGACTGGCTCTCAGTCCCCGCCTCGCGGGGTGTGCCTCCCCCGTGTGATGGGGATCCTCAGAGGTGGGCGGGGAAGAAGGGCTGGCTCTTAGACACCGCCTCGCGGGGGGTGCCTCCCCCGCCTGCGATGGGGGTCCTAAGAGCCAGGGGGGAAAGAGCGGCTGGCTCTCAGTCCCCGCCTCACGGGGGGTGCCTCCCCACCTGCTATGGGGGTCCTAAGAAAAATGGAGGGAAGAGGGGCTGGCTGTCAGTCCCCGCCACGCGGGGGGTGCCACCCCCCTGCGATGGGGGTCCCAAGAGCCGGGGGGAAGAGCGGCTGGCTCTCAGTCCCCGCCTCGCGGGGGGTGCCTCCCCCCCCTGCGATGGGGGTCCCAAGAGCCAGGGAGGGAAGGGGTCCCAAGAGCCAGGGGAGGAAAAGCAGCTGGCTCTCAGTCCCCGCCTCGCGGGGGGTGCCTCCACCCTGCGATGGGGGTCCCAAGAGCCAGGGGGGAAGAGCGGCTGGCTCTAATTCCGCGCCTCGCGAGGGGTGCATCCCCCCACTGCGATGGGCGTCCTAAGAGCCAGGGAGGGAAGAAGGGCTGACTCTGAGTCCTTGCCTCGCGGGGGGTGCCTCACCCCCTGCGATGGGGATCCTAAGAGCCACGGGGGGAAGAGGAGCTGGCTCTCAGTCCCCGCCTCGCGAGGGGTGCCTCCTCCCCCTGCGATGGGGGTCCTAAGAGCCAGGAGCGGAAGAGGGGCTGGCTCTCTGTATCCACCTCGCGGGGGGTGCCTCCCCGCCCTGTGATGGGTGTTCTAAGAGCCAGAAGGCTTAGGGGGGCTGTCTCTCAGTCCCCGCCTCGCGGGGAGTGCCTCCCCTTCCTGCGACGGGGGTCCTAAGAGCCAGGGGGGGAACAGGGGCTGGCTCAGTCCCCGCCTTGCGGGGGGTGGCTCGCTCCCCTGCGATGGGCATCCTAAGAGCCAGGGGAGGAAGAGGGGGAGAGGATGATAATAATTTCAGCATCGCAGGCTGTGTTCACCCAGCCTGTTAAATCGTTATTTATATCCTGAAAGGGAGAGGATGATATTACTCCCCGTAATAGACAGATATGACTCCCCATCGTAGAGCACGAGGTGTACACCCGCCCTGTGATTTTCTTCCTCATATTCAGAGACCGAGAGGTTGATGTCACTCCCAATATCGGAGGAAGTATACACCCCCGTGTGAGATGGTCCTTAATAATATTCCACGGCGGAGGGGGTGATATGACTACATACATGGCAGAAAGTGGAAACCTCCCAGGGATATTGTTCCCACGATCCTGGAGGGAAGAAGATGATGTTACTTTCAATATGACAGAAGGTGGATGAAGTGGTGGACTGCCCCTCCACACCTGTGAGTATTTCTAGTTGGGTGGGTGGGAGGAGAGACTGAGAAAAGAAATAAGACACAGAGACAAAGTGTAAAGATACAACAGTGGGTCCAGGGGACCGGCGCTCAGCACACCAAGGACCTGCACCGGCACCAGCCTCTGAGTTCCTTCAGTTTTTATTGATTATGATTTTCATTATTTTAGCAGAAAGGAATGTAGTAGGAAAGCAGGGTGATGATAAGGAGAGAGTCTGCAGAAGACATGTGAGCAAAAGAATCTATGTCATAATTAGGTTCAAGGGAAGGTACTATGACTGGACGTGCACGTAAGCCAGATTTGTTTCTCTCCACCCAAACATCTCAGTGGAGTAAAGAATAACAAGGCAGTGTTACTGCAAACATGTCTCGCCTCCCGCCACAGGGCAGCTTTTCCCCTATCTCAGAGTTGAACGAATGTACAATCGGGTTTTACACCGAGACATTCAGTTCCCAGGGGCAAGCAGGAGATAGTGGCCTTCCTCCACCTCAGCTGCAAGAGGCTTTCCTCTTTTACTAATCCACCTCAGCACAGACCCTTTACGGGTGTCGGGCTGGGGGACAGTCAGGTCTTTCTCATCCCATGAGGCTATATTTCAGACTATCACATGGGGAGAAAGCTTGGACGATACCCTGCTTTCAAGGGCAGAGGTCCCTGCGGCTTTCCACAGTGCATTGTGCCCCTGGTTTATTGAGACTAGAGAATGGCGATGACTTTTACCAAGTATACTGCTGGTAAACATTTTGTTAACAAGGCACGTCCTGCACAGCCCTACATCCCTTAAACTTTGATTTTATACAACACATGTTTTTGTGAGCTCCAGGTTGGGTCAAAGTGGCTGGGGCCAAGCGGCTAGGGCAAAGCTACAAATTAACAACATCTCAGCAAAGCAATTGTTTAAAGGACAGGTCTTTTTCCAAATGGAGTCTCTTATGTCTTTCCTTTCTACATAGACACAGTGACAGTCTGATCTCTCTTTCTTTTCCCTACAGGTGGACACGCCCCCACTGATATTCCTTCTAATTGCAGCGTGGGAGAGGAGGATATGACACGCGATATCGCAGGGAGTAGAAACACCCCTGTGATACTGTTCTTAATATTCAGGGAGGAAGAGGATGATATTACTCCCAATACAGACGGGTGTACACCCTCTGTACACCGAGGGTGTACACCTGTCTGTGAAAGAGTTCGTAATCTCCAGAGGGGGAGATGATATTACTCACAATATGGTAAAGAGGCTGTGAGTCCACGGAGGATCCTCAGAGCCAGCGGGGGAAGAGGGGCTGGCTCTCAGTCCCCGCCTCGCGGGGGTGACTCCCCCCAGTGCGATGGGGGTCCTAAGAGCCAGTGGGGGAAGAGGGGCTGGCTCTGAGACCCCGCCTCGCGGGGGGTGCCTCCCCGCCCTGTGATGGGGGTCCGAAGAGCCAGAAGGCTTAGAGGGGCTGGCTCTCAGTCCCCGCCTCGCGGGGGGTGCCTCCTCCCCCTGCGATGGGGGTCGTAAGAGCCACTGGGGGAATAGGGGCTTGCTCTCAGTCACCGCCTCGCGGGGGGTGCCTCCTTTCCTTTCTACATAGACACAGTGACAGTCTGATCTCTCTTTCTTTTCCCTACAGATGGACACGCCCCCACTGATATTGTTTTTAATGCAGCGTGGGAGGGGAGGATATGACACGCGATATCGCAGGTAGTAGAAACACCCCTTTGATAGTGTTCTTAATATTCAGGGAGGAAGAAGATGATGTTACTCCCAATACAGACGGATGTACACCCTCTGTACACCGAGGGTGTACACCCGTCTGTGAAGGAGTTCGTAATCTCCAGAGGTGGAGATGATATTACTCACAATATGGTAAACAGGCTGTGAGTCCATCGCGGATCCTCAGAGCCAGGTGGGGAAGAGGGGCTGGCTGTCAGTCCCCTCCTCGCGGGGGGTGCCTCCCCCACTGCTATGGGGATCCCAAGAGCCAGTGGGGGAAGAGGTGCTGGCTCTCAGTCTCCGCCTCGCGAGGTGCCTCCCCACCCTGCGATCGGGGTCCGAAGAGCCAGGGGGGAAGAGGGGCTGGCTCTCTTCGTGGATGATTCTTTTTCCATTCTCAGGCAGTTTTCTTTTTTCTTTCTTTCTTTTTTTTTTTTTTTGAGACTGAGTCTTGCTCTGTTGCCCATGCTTTGCTCGATCTCGGGTGACTGCAACCACTGCCTCCCAGGTTCAAGAGATTCTCCTGCCTCAGCCTCCTGAGTAGCTGGGACTAGAGGCGTGTGTCACCACACCCAGCTAATTTTTGTATTTTTAGTAGAGATGGGGTTTCACCATGTTTGCCAGGATGGTCTCTATCTCCTGCCCTTGTGATCCACCCACCTCAGCCTCCCAAAGTGCTGGGATTGCAGGTGCGAGCCACCGGGTCCAGCCTCTCAGGCGATTTTCATACCTGCATACTCTGGTCACTACTCTGTTAAACAGTCAAGGAGGGTAAGTATTATCTTCAGATTTCCAGAGCTCTGTCTCTGTACAGCCCTCTCCTCCTCAATATTCTGCCCTATGAATTCTAGCCACATTGGCCTTCCCAGGCTCACAGTTCTGTCTTCTCAACTCAGGAAGATCTCTGAGTTCCATCTGCATTCTTTCTTCCTGTGCTGTGGCCTGGAAAGTTTTCTAAGGTGTTAGGGAGGTCAATTGTGGGGCTAGCCTCATTTGTTTCTCATCTCTTGAGGATCACTGCCCTTTGATGCTTGATTCCAGTGATTGATTCCCTTTGTTGCTTGAGGGCCATAGTTTCATATATTTTGTCCAGTAGTTTTGTTGTTTTAGGTCAGAAAGTAATTTTGGTCTCTGTTACTCTATCTTGGCCAGAAGTGTAAGACCTAAGCATTTACACATCAAAATACTGCACACATAATTTTAGTTTAAGCTACTTTTTAAAAAATCTCCTTCATTTTCCATTTAGCATTCTATTTAGGGTATTACATTGGTTTTTTTGAAATTCTGTTATTGGCAGTTTCTATTGCCTATCAATCCCATTTAAAGATAGTGCATAGGGTATTCTAAAATAGCTGTTAAGCAAAGAGAAAATTGGGCCTGATAGGGTGAGAATCACAGCTCTAATACCTAGAGTGACCTTATAATGTATTGTCCAAAGGAGATATTTTTGACAGTGAAAGAGGGTGTTGTTAGTAATTATATCAGGACCATGGCCTAAACCAGGACTATCCCAGGAAGCCTGGGACATATTTGTACCCCATCTCTATTTAATGCCTTTATACAATTCTTTACTTAATTCTACCAGCCTTTATTGAGCCTGCTTTCTTTGTCTAGCTGAGTGCCACGTGCTGACGTCACTAAGATCAATACAGCAAACTCTGAAAGATGGACAGAGAGACAGGAGATGGTCCTTTATAATGCAGTGTGATCTGTGCTGCAATAGAGGTGAGCACAAGGGCCTTACGAAGGTTCAGTGAAGAGCATGCTTGACTGCAGGGGAGGGTACTTAGGTTAGAAAAGATGAGTTGAAGTATGTTCATAGGGAGCATGAGATGAGAGGTGGTGGGAAAGGTATTCCAGACAGTGTGTGTCAAGGCCAAGAGCCAGGGGAACACAGGTAGGGCTTTTTTTTTTTTCTTCTAAGATGGAAGAGTGTTCTGATCGGCTGGAAAACAACGCACATGGGAAGCTGTACAGAAATGAGTGGGGAAAGGTAATACTTAACAGCAACAGCAGTTAATATTTAGTGCCCACTTACGACATGCTGGACACAGTTCCGGGTACTCTGAACATATTTGCTCATTTAATCTTTACAACAACCCTATGAGGTAGGTACTATTATTATCCCCATTTTCAGGTGAGGAATCTGAGGCACAGAGAGAGTAAGTATGTTGCCCAGGGCCACGCACCAAGTATGTGGTAGGTCCTGGAGTTGAATGCAGAGCCCCTCCACTCTAAACTCCTGAAAGCCAGATGCTACAAGGCATTGTTATTCCAAGTGGAGGAATGCTAAGGACATCATCCTGCAGGTGACCAGGAAACCCTGAAGCATTCGAAGCAGGGGAATGGCTTAAAACAAGATGGTATAGGAAAGTGCTCCCAGAGCAGCATGAAAGTCTGGTGTAGTGGAGGTCTCCGCTAGCCACAAGAGGTGGTAAGAGGCTGAGCTGAAGCAGCTGCAGCAGGGATGCAGAGGATACATTCCCCAAACCCTTATGGGCAGAGTCCTTTGGCTTCAGTGACCACGGCCAAGGGTGCAGAGGAGAAGCCCAAGAAGATGCCAGGTGTCTGGCTTATGCCCCTGTGTGAACGTGAAGCCTCTCATTGACATGCAGGTTACAGGAGGAAAAGCAGGTTTATTTGGGAAGGAGGCTTCTAGACCATGACTTCCATTTTAGCCATGTAGTTTTTGAAGTGCTTGTACAAGTTCTAGGTGGAAATGTCCAGGAGGCAGTGGGGAACTCAAAGTAGATCTCAGGAGAGAGGCTTAGGCCAGAGGGCTTGGGGAATCATCAGCATGAGGGTGGGAGGAGAGCTGGTATTTGGATGAGATTGCAGTGGAGCATGAACAGAGTGGGAAAAGGTGGTGATGAACCCAGGGACTCCAGTATGCGGTAGCTGGCTGTGAGATTAGGAAGCAATGAAGGAGGCCGAGAAGGATGTGGGGGAGAAGCATCAATAAGGAATAAATGAGTTGCACGTGCTCCAGAGAGGCCAACTAAAGACTGGATTTGGCTCTCGCAGGTCATACACGAAAGAATCTTGGAACCAAAAGGAAAACTGTGGTGGTTTAAAGGGTATATTCTGTTTCTAGGTCTGCTGTCACAAAATACCAGAAACTGGGTGTCTTGTTAAAACAACAGAAATTTTTTCTCTCACAGTTTTGGAAGCTAGAAGTTCAAAACGAGGTGTTGGCAGCACCATGCTCTCTCTGAAGATGCTAGGAAGAATCTGCTCCATGCCTTTCCATTCGCTTCTGGGGTTTCCTGCAAGCCCTGACATTCCTTGGCTTGTAGATGCATCACCCCAGTTTCCGCCCCCATCATCACATGGCCTCCTCTCTGTGTGTGCCTCTGCGTTCCCTCTATTCTTCTTCTAAGGACACCGACACCAGTCATAGTGGATTAAGTGTCCACTCCTAACCAATTACATCTGCAACAACCCTATTTCCAAATAAAGTCACATTCTAAGATTCCTAGGGAGAACATGAATTTTTGGGGGTGTGTGGATACTGTTCAACCTGGGACATGGAGTAAATAAATGGCAAGGAAGATTACAGATGACTTTAAGCTAAAGAGGGAGATAGGGTTAAATGTAGGACTTTTTTTTTCCAGGACGGGAGAGGTTTAAACATGTTACTACATTGAATAAATGAAATAACCATGGACATGGAGTGGCTAAAGATTCTGAACTAAGTGCAAGTAATTGATAGCGCAAGCTCCCAAGGGGCTGGGGCCTGGAGCACAGATGGATGGATCCATTGTGGGCAGAACTGGGGCGTGGGAGGGGTGTGCCGATGCAGATGTGTTTGAGTGTGGGGGGCCAGAAGCTGATTGGGGCGAAGCGTGACAGTGCAGCTCCAAGCACGCTGGAGGTGTTCACCAAGCAAATCAAGAGCAGATGGCAGAACAAGCAGCTGAAATAACAGCTTGTGAAATCAACCCTACTTTGTGGGGAGAGGATTAGTTAAGGATTCTAGCCATGAGAACCAAGAAGAGGAGGATAATCTGTTCATGCCTATTATGGGGCTTTGGGGGAGCAGTTTCAGCCTCAACCTGGAGAATGTTTTAGAAGGCCAGAGAAAGGAACCCTGCAAATCATGTGAGCTGGCCCCTCACTTTGAGATGAAGTGTCCATACAGCAGTAACGCCACCCTCTGTAGTGGTTCTAGAGTGTGGCAATCTGGAGGGGTCATTATGGAAAAGGGCTGAAGCATAAGAATGTAGGCCCAATACTGAGATAGAAAGAGGATTCTCTGAGATGACTTAGGCAGGGTGATGGTGGTGGAGGTGGGTGTAAGAAGCCCTCTGCTGCCTCAGTCCGAGCATGGGATTCAATTGGTCAAGAGCAGAGCCAATCACCATTTAGGCCCCCTTGTTAGCCTTAATTTATTCCTCAGGTATGGAGAATACTCCTCAAGATGCATTCAGAGTGTAAGCTCCCTCTTCCGCAGCAGAGGACTGCCCTGCAGGTTTGCAGTTCTGTCATTTGGAAACTCCCTGATGTGTCCCTTGGCTCTTCCCATTCTTTTGCTTCAACACATTTTAAGACCAGGCACCTTAACTGCAGAAACAGCATGAAAAACAAGTAGGTTTCAGGAAAAATTATCCCAAATGGAGTCTCTACTGTGCTCTGTTTATCAGATGTAAAGCTTAAAACAGTGTAAGAGTTTTTACAGAGTGTATTCATATCACACCAGTTTTGGGTCCATAGACAGGGGCTTTTTCTAGATCAAACCGTTCAATTGTCCTGTTGATCCTGGCCTAAAATCTGAGTGGATAAAAAATATTTTAGGAGAGATGAGATTCTAACCCTCAATGGCAAAAAGCAGGGCTGAGCCCTAAGCCCACGTTTTTACACGTATTTTACAATTGAATGTGTTGCACTACCGCTAGAACACTAGTTCTCAACCAGGGGTGATTTTGCTTTCCAGGGGACATTGGCAATGTCTGGAGACATTTTTTTTTCCATTTTCAAAAATTGTGGCAAAGCACATAACATAAAATTAGCCATTTGAACCATTTTCATGTGTATAGTTCAGTGGCACTAAGCACCTTCACACTGATGTGCAACCATCACCACCATCCATCCATAGAACTCTCTTCATTTTGCAAAACTGTAACTCTGTACCCATTAACACTAACTCGCCATTTCCCTCTTCTCCCAGCCCCTGACAACCATCATTTGACTTTCTGTCTCCATGATTTTGACTACTCTAGGTACCTCAAATAAGTGGAATCATACTGTTGAGGGATTTTTGATGGTCACAACTTGGGATGGGGTGCTGCTGGTGTCTAGTGGGTAAAGGCTAGGGAGGCCACTTAACATCCTGCAATGCACAGGATGGTCCCCACAAGAAAGCAATAACTAACCCCAAACGTCAATCCTACCAAAATTGAGAAACTCTGAGCTAGAAAAATCCCATGACTAATCTTACACCATGGAGTATCAGTCAATAGAGACTAGTTATGTTGTAATAAGAAACCACCTCCAAATTTCTGTGGTTTAAAACAACTTATATTTTTGCTCTAACATGGAGCATACTTAATCAGCAATCCAGGCTGGTGGGAGTTCCATCCTGACCTGGGCTTCTACGATGACTGAAGCAGAAAAAGGATAAGTGATAAATCGTGCACTGGCTTTTAAAGCTCCCATTGGAAGTGTCCAGGTCATTTTCGGTCACACTTTCTTGGCCAGATCAAATCACAGGTCCACATCTCACTTCAAAGGGAGGAAGGAAGTGCATTTTTACTCTAAGGAAATACAACCACCACACCTAGCAATTAAAAATAAACCTCATAGTGTTATCACCTGCTTGAAGTGCTGATATCAGAGCAAGCCTACCAGTAGGAGTGGTGCAGGCTGCAGGTTTTTTGTTTTGTTTTGTTTTGTTTTGTTTTTTGAGACTGCACTCCAGCCTTAGTCTGTCATGCAGGCTGGAGTACAGTGGTGTCATCAGAGCTTATTGCAGCCTTGACCTCCCCACACAAGCGATCCTCCCACTTCAGCCTCCTGAATAGTTGAGACTACAGGCCCATGCCACCACGCCCGGTTAATTTTTTGTATTTTTTTGTAGAGATGGGGTTTCACTATGTTGCCTAGACTGGTCTTGAACTCCTGGATGCAAGTGATCCACTTGCCTCGGCCTCCCAAAGTGCTGGGATTACAGGCGTGAGCCGCCATGCCTGGCCTAGAAGCTCATTCTTATTGGCCAGAAGCTAGAGAGTGATCTAAAGGCTCCAAGCCAGGCCAGACTGGTTTCAAGCCTTAGGGCTAGTGTATTAATGAATGAGGTTCGAGCTTCTATGGCATGGGAACTGAGGGGCACCACAACACTCAGCTTACTCAAGGGACCAATTCTAGCAGCCTTCAAAGGAGTCTGAAAAAGGTAGCCTTGAATTAGTTTCCGGGTGAAAAATATTTGTCCCAATTGAAGCAAGTACTACTAGTGACTGCCTCTGCTATGGAAGCAGGGGTTACCTGCTTACCTGTGAGCAACAGGATTTCTTGGGGTTGATTTTGCAGGAACATGTACCTCCATGTGGCCAAACAAGCAGGCTTGCTTAGATTTGCACCACAGGATATTAAAGTGGAAAGGAATCTTAAACATCTAATTGAGGGATGGCAAATTGGGTTCATTGTAAGGGTCACCTCTGACCCTTTGGTTGTGGCTGCTAGGAGCATTGGGTGGGAAGAATTCCATAGTTTTTTCCAGAGAGAGACAGCCACGCTTCATTAGAGAGTCTAGTGGGCATGGAAGGGAGGGGGTGAGTTGTTGTGCCTGTAACAGGATTTTGCCATCCCTAGTTCTAATCCAACATTTTGAGAGCTGAGGCTCAGCTCCATGAGTGATTTATAGAGGTCCTTCCTTTATTGCTTTTATGTCACCACATCTAGAATTAGGTCTTCTGCTTCCAAGAAAGTCAGCTGCCTCATTACCATGTAGCTTAGTTAGATTCCCCATTTCATCTAGAAAATAAACATTTATTGAGGGCTGGCCAAGTGCGGTGGCTCACGCCTGTAATCCCCGCATTTTGGGAGGCCAAGGTGGATGGATCATTTGAGGTCAGGAGTTCGAGACCAGCCTGGCCAACATGGTGAAACCCTGTTTCTACTAAAAATACAAAAATTAGCCAGAAATCCCTTGAACCCAGGAGACGGAGGTTGCAGCGAGCCAAGATCGCACCACTGCACTCCAGCCTGGGCGGAAGAGAGAGATTCCGTCTCAAAAAATAAAATAAATAAATAAATAAATTCACAAAAATATTTATTGAGGGCCCACTTGGTTTTTAGCACTGAAATAGGAGCCGAACATAGAGCAGTGAATGAATAGGCCAAGTCCATGCTCTTCTTGGCCTTACATTTTGGGGGAGGAGACAGATTAGTAATTATTAGGAGAATTATTAGTAATTATTAGGAGAAAGCAGGAAATTTCTGCTTTCATGGGTGGGATACCAGAAGGTAAATCATTATGAAAGGATATTTTGGGACAAGTTTCTATAGCATAGATGTATTTTAGGATGATTGGTGCTGTGTGTTGTGAGCACGGGATCTCTGAGGCAGTCAAAGGGCACCAGGAACCTCATCTCTTAAGATGTGCATGCACCGTAGGCTGCCGTTTGTGTCCCTCACTCTGGCCAAGCTCCCTTCTTCATCATGGCCTTTGCACTTGCTGTTCTCTGTCTGGGGAAGAATGCTCTTTCCCTAGAGATCCAAATGGCTCACTCCTTCAGTGCCTTCAAATCTCTGTCAAATATCACCTAAACAGAGAGGCTTTCCCTGGCCTCTAGAGGACAAAGTAGCACATTTTCTCACCCACTTACCCTGCTCATCCTTCTTTATAACACCCCTCACCACCTGCTGTATTATTTGTTTATCGTTCAGCTTTCTCTCTAAAATGGAAGATCTATGAGAACAAGAACCTGTCTGCTCATTGAGGTGTTACTCTAGAAAAATGTCTGGCCCATGGCAGGTGCTTAATCAACAATTTTTGAAGGAAAAGTGGAGGAAAAAAAGATAGGAGAAAGCAAACTCATGAAGAAGAGTGCTTGGGTGGGGTGGGAGGAGAAGAGGGCAATGGATCCAGGCCCTACAGGGATTCACTGTTCAAGCAGAAAGTCCAGGGAAAGCCACATGGCCTCCTTCAATCGGATGAGCTGGAGCTGCTGACATCCCCTGCAACCTGGGAGCCAGTGCATGCAATGCTCCAGCTGGGTCTAAGGACAGAAGGAGGCTAATGAACAGCCACCTTCGGAGCAACAGGGTCACTTCAGTCCTCCCTGTTTACTTCCAAGCTGCTGGGAGTCTTATGCACATTTCCTCTTCTCACTTGCCTCTTCACATCCCTAGCTGCCGCAGGAATTTATGGCTTAATTAAAGTGGGAAGCAGGGTTTATACATGTTTATATAAAGTTATATTTTCCTCCACCTCTTTGTTGGAAGAAAACTCAAATGTTAAAATTCTTAGGAGCCCAGGAGTTCGAGACCAGCCTGGGAAACATTGCAACCCCATCTCTACAAAGAATAAAAAAATTAGCTGGGAGTGGTGGTCCCAGCTACTTGGGAGGCTGAGGCAGGAGAATCATTTGAACCCAGGAGGTTGAGGCTGCAGTGAGCCATGTTAGTGTCATTGCACTCCAGCCTGGGTGACAGAGTGAGATCTTGTTTAAAAATAAAGAAAGAAAGAAACACCTAGAAAGGACACTAGAGATAAATCTAGTTCATGCTCCTTGTTTTCTATGGGAGGACACTGAGGTCCAGGGTCACACAACTCACAAATGGCCAGCCTACGGAAACCCTGTAAGAGGCAGAGTGTGAGGAAAAGGCAGGCACTTGTGATAACCCCACTGGTGGGCAGGAGCTAAGCCTCCATAGGTGGGGAAGGGAATTAACCCCAGGACACAGGCTCCAGTCTGGGGGCTTGAGATGCTCAGGGGACACCAGTTAGAACTAAGGCAGGAGGCCAAGGCAGAAGCTGTGCTCCTCTGCCTGGATGTATGAGGGCAGCAGAGGAAGAAGAGTTGGCAAAGCAGCCCAGAAACACATGAAGAGGAGGAGTGAATGTAAGTAGAGCATGCCAGAGATGGCAGATCAAGGCAGGGAGTTAAATTGAAGGAGGAGGTGGCCACGGCCAAGGGTGCACTGTGATTCAAAGTTACAGTTGGTTATGGGCTGAGGAAACAGCTTTCTGTTTCACTGCTGTGAGAGGCAACCAGGTTGCAAGGAAAGGAGGGGAAGAGGGAGGCGTTAACATGGAGGAGTGAATGTAGACAGAACCTTCCAGATGTTGGCTGAAGATAGAAAGGAGAGGGAGGAGGGGTTCTGGAGGGAGAAAGAAGTTAAAGAGTATTTTTTTATGTGGGGAGATATGGGAGTTTTGGGTTTTATTTTTGGCTTGTGAGAATGAGCTAATCTTGTATAAAGGGATTAAAGATTTTTTAAAAAATTTATCTCTGAGCCTTAGGTCTTTCAACTTTAAAACGAAGATAAAAAATCTATGTTTTTGGCTTATGAGAATTAAAATGTGAAAGCACATTACTCCAGTGCCTGGCACATTAAAAACACATAATACATGGTAGCTATTTTAAATATTTTATTATAAACTTATGTAGTGCTCATCTGGAGGCCTAGGAAAGTGTTATTGAAAGTATTTTAAATCTTAGTATCTTATATTTATCATTTATAGGGTATAGTAGATTAAGAAATACTTCACGTATTTTGAAAGATTGGGCTGGAAACATACCCGAAGAAGCATTCTTTTTATCTCTCATGTACATGTGGACATTATACATTTTAATTAAGTGTTATTATATGAGCCAAATTCCCTCCTCATGGGTGTTAGTAGGAGTTGACCTTGAAGGAGGGAGGATTTGGTTGTGGATTTATGACTCACATCTGCGAAAGGAGTAAGGGCGAATAAGAACAGGAAACTCTCTGATAAGCAATTTTACTATGTTTTCATTTTTATCTGAAACTCTGTAATCCAAGACTGGGGTAACTTTTCATATTTTTTAAAAATACTTTTTTATAGGCTGGAGTGATCTTGTGTAAGCAAGGATAAATCATAGACGTTAGAGAGACGTTTGTCTCTGTGCTGTTTGGTGCAAATTCCATGAAAAAGAGCCAAGGCAGGGGGTGGGGGTGGTTGTCAGGAAACCAAGGGATGAGATGTTTTTCTTTTTCAAAGATGACATCTGTGATGCCAACTAGTGAGCATGGGCGAACAGAGCGGAAAGGAATTCATTACAGTCCTAAAGAGGGATAAATGCATCTGGTGTCAGATTAACTCCAGCGAACAGCCTCACTCAGTCCTAAATACTGACTCAAAAGCATGTTGATTTCAGTGTGAGAAACAGATGTGTAAAGGTGACTTCTCATGAGGTAAAATATAAAGCAACATGCCTAGGTCTTAAAATCATGATGTTGAGTGCAACTATAAGAAAAAAATGGGCTTACTGATATAATGTTATTATGTAATTTAAAGCCACATTTGCATATCAAACAACCTTGCCTATTTCTACAGAGATAGTTGTTTTTTCTTTTTTTTTTTTCTTGTGACAGGGTCTCACTCTGTTGCCCAGCCTGGAGGGCAGTGGCGCCATCTCAGCTTACTGCAGTCTTGACCTCCCAGGCCCAAGTGATCCTCCCACCTCAGCCTCCCAAGTAGCTAGGATTACAGGCACAGGCCACCATACCTCGCTAAATTTTTTTTGTTTTTTATTTTTAGTAAAGATGAAATCTTACTATGTTGCTCAGGCTGATCTCAAACTCCTGGGCTCAAGTGATAGACCCACCTCCATCTCCCAAAGTGCTGAGATTACAGCCACCGCGCCCCCGGCCAAGATATAAAGTTTAAGGACACATATCAAACATACTAGAGAGGTTGCTGATGGGATAGGGAGGATGAGTGTGAGCATCACAGACGAGGGAAAAAGCAAAATGAGACAGCGGCTTTGCCCAGATGGACAATGAAAATGTGCTATGAGTTAAAGAGCATGATTTTTAAAAGGAGAGAAATCTTTTAGTCATTGGTCTTCTCTTTGTTCTGGCTTAATGAATCTGCTGCAAAGGCAAATAGCTTTCAGGCAAACTTGCTGCCCTAGTGGTAACATTGGCTTCAAGGACTCCTCGAGCGGTTTGGGATGGCTTCCTGAGGGTGACAAAGAGGAGCTGTGTTTTCAGCCAAATATACCAACCAGGGCCACTGCCTGCCACCAAACCCCAGCGGGCACCCCTACTTTGTGTTTATCTGTGGTGGCTACACTCGCCCACCTGGGTGGGAACCCCGAGAATGACTCCAAACTTTTCCAGGGACTGCATGCCAGGGTATTTTTACAATTTATGTGTAGACTTTGTTCGGGTGGAAAAGTTATTTTATGAAGACGAAACAAGCAATTGGGGTACCTACCTTATGGCATTTTTTACATTGAGAGTGTTAAAAATACCCCTCCCCTAACCAAAACCCTGACAAATAGAGCCAGGGAAGGCCATGCAAAAAAGGATTCTTGGGCTTGTATGCCTGATAACAAAAACTTATCACAGAAGACTGCAAAAAACACAATCTTGCACAAAGCCCATCGCAACTTTGCACACAACAATGCTTCTGAAGGATATTTGTCCAACAACTGCCTGTCCAACCTGGGCCTGGCATCACCTTTGTTATTGATCTTTGTAGCCAAGGATAATCATTTCCAAATGATCATATAATCTTCCTCATTTTTTCTTTTGTCTTCCTTTACCTCCGTGAATATGCATATAGTTTACTCTGGCTTGCCTATTTCTATTGCAAGGCTCTGTTTCCAAACGAATATCTTTTTCTTGTGGAGAGCCTCTCTCTGTTTGTTATTTAGGTTGATAAGAGAAATGTGAACATTTGAGAGCTCAGGTAAAAGGCCTTAGTCTACAGTGAAACTTTTTTGCACCCTTAGATGCTTACTTCCACTACAACTTGCAGGTGGGCCTTGAAAAGTTCTTGGAATAAGTTTGAGCTTTGATCTTGTCCGGTTCATTTAGCATAGATTCTCAAAATGTGGTCCCTGGACCCACAGCATTAGCATCGCCTGGAGATTGTTAGAAATGCAAATCATCGGGCCTCATTCCAGACCCTCAGCTGGAAACTCTAGGGGCATGGCCAGACCCTCTGTAGCTGAACAAGCCATCCAGGTGGTTTTGATGCAGCTAAAGTTCTGGAACAACTAATGTAGCCCCATTTGGAAAACTTGGCTGTACAGGCCTCCCTAGCTGGTAAGCTGCTAGCATTTTTTGTTTGTTTGTTTTGATACAGGGTCTTGCTCTGTTGACCAGACCGTGACCTCCTGGGTTCAAGCGAGGACTCAGCCTCCTGAGTAGCCGGGACTACAGGTATGTGCCACCACCATGCCCAACTACTTTTTGTATTTTTTTTTTTGTAGGGATGGGGTTTTAGCCCGGGCTAGTCTCAAACTCCTGGACTCAAGCAATCTGCCCACTTTGGCCTCACGAAGTGCTGGGATTATAGGCATGAGCCACTGTGCCCGGCCCTGCCAGCTTTGTATAAGCTGAGGAGTTCTAAAAAATACCTAGACTCAGGGCAAACCCCAGACACTTAAATCAGATTCTCCGGGAGATGAAGCCCAGGCACTGGTATTTTTAAAGTCTCTACAGATGGTTCTAATGTGCTGCTAAGTTAGAGAACTGCTGATCTAGACCAGGCCTTTTCAAACTTAATGTGCACGTGAATTACCTGGACCTTGTTAAAATGCAGATTCAGTCTGCATAGGCCTGGGGTGGAGCCTGAGCTTCTGCATTTTTAACAAGTCTCTAGGGGATGCTGCTGCATCTGGGCTGCTAACTACACTTGGAGATAGGAGGTTCTGGAGAGCAGAGGAAAGAGCATGAACCATAACCTAGGTCCTGACTTCCGAGCCAAGGTTTGCCTTTATGTGGCTGGCAACTTGCTTGGACTCCTACCTCAATTCTTTGGGCCCAAGGTTTGTCCTGCCTCAGAAGGATGTCAAGAAAATTGAGTGAGTAATGCAGAATTGTTTCTTAAAGTGTGTGCAGATGCTCCATGAATTTAGAGAGTATGTGGATGCACATTACTAAATTTTAATAGTTGTGAATATGTTGTTATGAGTACTTAGAACAAGTAATAATGGCTTTTGATGTATAGTAGTAAGAAAGCTTCCTTTTAAAAGGCATGTATTTAAGTTTCAAAAGTGGGGCTATTTAAAAATATATGAAATAAATAATAGTAGAGGTAATTGACAGAGCAAAATTATGAAGGCAGGATGAGAATGACTCAAGTTTGGGAAATGCTGAGAAAGCAGATGCCCAAGGGCTATGAAAACTTAAAAAAATAGGTAGCACTTGATTTTGATTGGCTGAATGAGATGATGTGTTTGATCATTTATGGGGTTGGCATTTGGCAACATGCACTGGGTGGCTGGGATCACTGTTTATTAAAAAATATTTGAGTATCTACTTTGCACTAGATACTCTTTTAGTCTCTTGGAAAAGGGATTGGGGGGGCAGGCAGGATAAAAACAAATCATTTATGCCCATAAGAAAATTGCAGGAAGATAAAAGTCATGAAATAAACTCTGTGCTTCTAATTTAATATTTTTTTATAGATTATGAGAAAAAAGTTTTGCTCACTATCAGCTAGGAAAGCTGTCTTAGCACAACCATTCATTCTTGCACAAATCAAAATCAAGATGAGCCAGAAGGCTCCATTCTGACAGCTTCTAATGGAGAAGCTACATTTACTGGACATGGGGAAAGTTGCTGGGCTCTAAGGACTGTGCTCATTTCTTGAACTAGATAAATGGTCTTGGTGTAGCATAATACCAAAACTTCTTGTCGCAGCCTGTAAGGACAGAACTCAATCAGCCTGAAAAGGAAGTCAGTGACTCCAACTCAACACAGGAATGTTCTGTGATTCCTAAAGAAGGATGTAGGAGTGTGGCACAATTCAACCACAGTCTGTGGCCCTGTGCCTCTGCCTTGACATGAGTGGGATTTCCCAGCTGGTCATTTTCTTCTTATCTAAGACATTGGGAACAAATTACTTGACCTCCTCTGGGCTTCAGTACTCCCACTCATCAAATTAGAGGACTGGGCAGTTGCTAGGCTCTCTTTAGGCATCATATTTTAGTTTCTGTGATTTTAAATTTGAGAAGGGGTGTCTAAGGGAGAATACATAGGGGAGGGGGAAAGGCTTATTAAAAGTGTAGTTAGACACTGAATTTTTAAGAATTGCATTTTGTAATAATACCTTTACCTAATCAGGACTGACAATCTTACCTGATGATAGCACCTGGAGGAATGGCTGCATTCAAAAATAAAAATGAAATAAAACAAGACCTTATTTGAACTTAGCAATAATGCTGATTCCTCTTTTTGATTTGAGGAAGTTATAGCTGTTGTAAATGCTTGAATTGGGTCTGCCCAGGCAAAACGGAGTCAAGAGTCCATGTCTGATGAATTTTAACAATGTAGACAACAAAAAAGGGTTGCTTAAACTGCCCCTCTTTTACCAAAACACATTTACAAATGAAAGAACAACACTTCCATTTTTAAAAAACATTTTTTGAGATGAAGTCTTGCTTTGTCACCCAGAGTGGAGTGCAGTGGTGCGATCTTGGCTCACTGCAAACTTTGCCTCCCGGGTTCAAGTGATTCTCCTGCCTCATCCTCCCGAGTAGCTGGGACGACAGGCTCCCACCACCATTCCTAGCTAATTTTTGTATTTTCAGTAGAGACAGGGTTTCACCATGTTGGCCAGGCTGGTCTCGAACTCCTGACCCCAAATGATCCGCCGACCTCGGCCTCCGAAAGTGCTGGGATTACAGGCGTGAGCCAACACGCGTGGCCAAAAAATTTCCATTTTTAATTGCAGGGTCTGGGCAATTAAAATGCATCCATAATTTCTTGCATCTCTCCGCTCGGGCTTGCATGAATGCAGAGGGATGGGGAGGACTTCTTGAGGCAAGCATCCCCCTCTTGTCGCCTGCCATCTGGAGAGAGAGGGCTGTGATTTATCTCACTTTAATCAGGAAGGACCCGATGGGTGGATGGAGAGGTCTGATGGCTTTGTTGCTCCATGTGGGAAAGAAACGGACAGAGTGAATTTGTGTATGATCCCTAAGGAGAAAGCGTCTTTGTGCTCTATTTCTTTTTGACCTGGAGCCCCTGAAAGCAAGCTAGTTACAAGTTGAAATAAGCCGTTTCTAAAGTGTGATTTTGTTTGTGTATGAGCCTTGATTACAAAGGGGAAAAAAACCCGCTTAATTTACATACAGCAGATGTAGTGCAGGATCACCTGGGCTATCTTTTCAGGTATCAGGAAACTTTGATGAAAGTCACTTGTCTCATCTAGGAGTCATTTCATATTGTTTAGCAGAGCCTGGTATTAACATTTCCTTCCAACTGTTTACTGGAATCTGTGTGTTCCCTTCAAGTGATGCATACTAGGTGCACAGGCTTCCTGCCACTGTCATCCTAATCTTTCCGTGCAGACAGGAGCAGAGGGGAGAGCTCTGAGCCAGGCCCCAGCTTGCTTTTCTTTCCTGACTCAGCCCGGCTCCGCTGCACTTCTCAGCTCTTGCTGTAGGTGGTGCTGTTTGACCATTTTCTTCATGTGACCCTCCACTCGGTAATATAAATTCATTCGGAGGATGACCTGATATCAAAAAAAATTCCTTTTGATTAGTAGAATCAACTTATTTCTTCACACGATACTCTTCCCACTGAGACACATGGAGACAATTCTGACTCCAGGTTTGCAACCTTGAGATTTCTCTCAGATGCAATAAAAAAACAAAGCATTTTGAGTGGCACAGTGATGCCTAGTGCATGATCATGTTTGTCTGCTCAAACATAAAAGGGAAACTGGTGGGTTTGAGGATGCCCAGCAGCACGACAGCTGCCAATGTAAATGAGCGGTATAGAGAGAGAGGGGACGGGAGGGGACTACAAACTTCGGAATATGAGCTGATCGTTTATAAGTTAAAAAAAAAAAAAAAAAAAAAAAGTCAAAAGGGAGCCCAGGATGGTGCAGGAAAAAGGAGAAAGGAAGATTTTCCTTGCAGCTAATCAGGAGAGTTCATAAGGGCTGATTACATGTGTGGAAGCCTTAAGTTCTTTTTTTAAAAAATGTGAAAGTTTGCATGTATGTATGTATGTATGTATGTATGTATGTATAGCTTCGTGTATTACCATTATTATTGCAATCAGCAAATGGATTTACTTCCTTTATCTCATGGGCTCCTTCCCACTCACTTCTGGCAGCACATTTTCCTTTCTCCTTCATCCCAGAACACCAAAGAACAGATGCGCTTCCTAACCCTGGCTCCAGGGGACTTTATACAATGTAAACAGTACACCTCTAAAGTGGTTCACCGCTTAGAGAACGTGTGTCCCATTTTAAAACTGTGAGTCCTTTATATTTTGCAGTGCTTATTTTAATAAGAGACATTGGACTTGTGACTTATTTTTCATGGAGGAGTGAGCTTAATGGTTGAAAGTAATCGATAAACTTGTTTTTCTTCTGATGCCATCAGCCAAGATCCTATGGCAATAGTAAGAGGATGACACTGGGCTGGCACCCCCTCCATAACATATTTGGACCATTTTTTTCTCCCAGAATGCACATGCAATAGCTTTGGTTTGGTAAGAGAGAGATGGTGTACTTGGTTTCCTTCTGTCACACTTTTGGTGAAATGAATTAGACTTTTAAATCAGGAAATTCAGCGAGATGAGTTAGATTTTTACACAAGAACAGTGGAGGACTTCCAGCTGGTTGGGGGAATGATACGGAAATATCTTGCTAAATCAGGATCTGGTGGAATGCTGCTCCCTGGCAGGCTCCTCTTCACAGGGAGCAATCTGTGGGTTGCTTATAGAACAGAGCGAGCAGGAGGAATAGCATGGTCTTGCTCGTGGGAAGACCTGGTGTTCAGATGTTTGTCATTAGGAACTGAGTGTGGGCTTTTTCAAGCTAAACTGAAGCAGCAGTTCTATTAGGAAGAGCCTCCCAGATCAGCATCTTCTGTTTCTGGATACTCTCCCTTTGAAAATCCAGATTTCAGCAAAAAGCTTTGCTAATGGTGAAATTGCACAACTGAAACCCTATGGGAGCAATGGGAAAGATGGAGAAAGAGGTGGTTATATCATGTACTTCAACAGTTTATTTAGAGGCTGTTGACGTTAGAATAACAAGCCAAGACAAACAAAAATACTCATTTTGGATGAAAATATTGTCTTTTCATGTTATTATAGATAGCTGAGTCCTAAGACTTATACAGAAACACATTTTCCTAATGAGTGGCTGATTTTTCTGGTCGTGCAAGTAATATCCAAATTATTGTACAAATTTTTGGCTCAGGAGCAAACATTGTATTGCATATTGAGCTAATCACTTGCCCTTTCTAAGGTAAGCCCTTACCTCTGCTTTCCCTTCATCTTGTCATTTCTGTTTGTTGGGTACAGGTTTCCTGTTGGTTCTTTCTTTTGGCTCTGATGTAACATGAATGCAGTTCTTAACATCCTTTCAGACATAAACACAACTTAGCTCATTGTTTCTGAGTTCATATAGAGGTTTTCTTGCCCCTGAGACTTTCATGTCAGACAGCTGGATGTTGCTGTGTTCAAGGCTCTATATGTTGATTTTGTATCCTACAACTTTACTGATTTCACCTATCAGTTCAGTTCTAACAGTTTTCAAATTTTATTTATTTGTTTTTGTTTTTTAAATATTGTACGTTTCATTTTAGAGTCAGGAGGGTAGATGTACAGGTTTCTTACACAGGTATATTGCATGGTGCTGAGGTTTGGGCTTCTAATGATCCCACCACCCAAGCAGTGAGCATAGTAATCGATAGGTAGTTTTTCAACCCTTGCTCCCACCATCCTTCCCTCCCACCTTTGGAGTCCCCCAGTGTCTATTGTTCCCTTCTTTGTGTTGAGTTCTAACCTTTTTTTAGTGAAGTTTGTAGGGTTTTCTATATATAACAAGATCATGCTGTCAGTAGAGACAGTTTCACTTCTTCCTTTCCTATTAGGATGCCTTTTATTTCTTTCTTTTGCCTAATTACCCTGAGAAGTGGTGTCCGTGGGCATCCTTGTCTTGTTCCTGATGGTAGAAGAAAAGTTTCAACTTTTCACCACTGATTATGCTGTTAGCTATGGGTTTGTCATATATGGCCTTTATTTTGTTGGGATACAGTCCCTCAATACGTGATCTGCTGGGTGTTTTTTTTTTTTTTAACCATGAAAGGGTTTCAAATTTTGTCAAAAGCTTTTTCTGTATCTATTGAGATGGCCATATAGTTTCTATCCTTTATTTTTCTAATATGGTATATTATATGTATTGATTTGCTTATGTTGAACCATGACATGATCATGGTGAATGATTCTTTCAATGTGCTATTGAATTTGGTTTGCTAGGATTTTGTTGAGGATTTCTGCATCTATGTAGATCAAGGATATTGGCCTGTAATTTTCCTTTCTTGTAGTGTTCTTGTCTGGCTTTGGAATCAGGGTAATGCTGGCCCTGTAAGATGAGTTTGGAAGTATTCCCTCCACTTCAGCTTTTTGGAAGAGTTTGAGAAGGACTGGTATTAGTTCTTCTTAAAATATTTGGTAGAATTAATCTGGGAAGTCATCTGGTTTTGGGTTTTTCATTGATAGGATACATTTTCTTACTGATTCAACCTCCTTGCTTGCTATTAGTCTGTTCAGATTTTTTAATTTCTTCATGAGTCAATCTTGGTAGGTTTTATGTGTCTGGGAATTTATCCATTTCTTCTAGATGATCCAATTAGTTAGTGTGTAATTATACCTAGCAGTTTCTTAGGATCCTTTGTATTTCTGTGATATTGGCTATGATGTTTCATCTTTCATTTCTGATTTTATGCTATATTGAAAACATGAGGCATAGCAGGTAGGGGGCACTGGTCAGGACTTGGGGTATAAACTGGCAGATGTTAAGGTGGGTGATTCTGGTTAACTCAGAAACTCCGAAGTCCCGTGTGGAAGAATTAACTGCCTGTACTCACCTAGTAATGTATATCCTTGGTCAAAAAGAGATCCAGCTGAGAATGTTGGATGAAGGGACCAAATCAATATTCATCATTATATTGAAAACAAGTCAGATTGGCTGTGGTCTTTTGACAGCAGGTCAGTGGCTAAGTCTATTTGAACAAAGTTAGGGCAGGTTCAAGGGAGAATCCTGAGATCGGTATTCTTTGTTCCATACAACCTTGCCTTTCAGTTTCTTCTCCCCATGCCTCCAGGATGTCCCTGCACAGCCTGTAGGGCCCCCTCCTTCAGTACCTTGCCTTACGAAGGGGAGAAAATGAGTTTTCCAATGTTAGCATATATTTAGCCTTCCAAAATTTCTATTTCTATTTTAGGGGAGCTCTAGGAGAACAGCAGATTACTCTAAATCCCCAGGTAAAAATCTGAAATGGTGGAATTTCATATGACCAGGAGACATATTTTGGGGCAAGTGGGCTTTTCACAATCACTTGGACATGAAGGCATCTGCTTCTTCTATGCCTAAAATATTCCTTCAATTTAGTAGTTTAATTCCTCTTCCTCTTTTTCAAATTTCAAGACAATACATGTAGTGACTGAACAATTTGGATCCAAGTTTCACTATTTAACTGCCAGTGTGACCTTGGGCGAGTCACTTAATCTTTTCAAGGCTCAATTTCATCATGTAAAGTGGAAGTACAAACAATCCCTGACTTACAATATTTTGACTTATGATTTTTCAACTTTAAGATAGTTTGAAAGCAATACACATTCAGCAGAAGCTGTACTTTGAGTACCCATACAACCATTCTGTTTTCCACTTTCAGTACAGTATTCATTATATTACATGAGATATTCAAAGCCCACTTTATTATAAAATGGGCTTTCTGTTAGATGATTTTGCCTAACTGTAGGTTAATGTGAGTGTTTAAGGTAGGCCGAGCTAAGCTATGATGTTTAGTAGGTTAAGTGTATTAAATGCATTTTCAGCTTACAATATTTTCATAAGTTTATTGGAATATAACCCCATTGTAAATTGAGGGGTATTTGTAATAATGATATCTCTTCAAGGAGACTTTGTGAGCCTCTCATAGGAAAATGCATACACAGATGCATATAAATATATAATCTTTCTTTTCCATACATATGATATTCTTTAAGGATATTCAAAAATCTGGAAACAGTTGCCTCCAGGGAGATAAAAGGTAGTGGGTTGGGAAGCTTTTAACTGTATACGCTTTTGTACCTTTTGCATTTTGAATCAGATGAATGTATAATCTACATAAAATATTAAGATTAAAACATCACCAAATAACTTATCAGGAGTTTGGTGAACATAAGGGAAGGACACCTATGGTGGCTGTATTTTATTCAGTGTTGGTCACTGTTGGGCACTTCATAGAGCTTATTTCATTTCATCTTCACAAGTGCCATAGGAGGAAGGGGCCCCAGAGGGATTCATGGTTAGAATAGCAGAGTAGGAGCATTTGGCAGCTATATTCTGTGTAGGTGATAACTTTAAAGATATTTTTGTTATAAAATGTTTCAAACATACAAAAAATATAGAGAAGCAGTTTTCTATAGTTATTAAATATTCTTAATGGGTAGTCACAGAAATTATCATCCAAAGTGGGATATTCTTGAGAGAAAAAGGAGGTTCTATTTATAATTATGGTGGGATAACAAACTTAAGATGAACAGCTCTAGACAAACTGGGTTGTATGGTCCCTGGAAAACAAGGATTACTGTAAATGTGAGTCCCGCCTTGTGCTTCTCTCTGTCCCACCAAGAAAATATGATCTTGATACAGATGTTCATTGTGTCAAGGCAACCATGGCAACCATGATCTAGATACACTGTTCAAGTTTTATGCTGATCCTACCTATATATGTCTCAGGAACTTTCCAGAGTTTCCTTTGAGTGCTTCTAAATTTTGCATAAATGGTATGTTGTCCCTTGTCTCTTTTTAAAACCAGTAAGCCATTTTCCCTTATTTTCCTGGAAAATTAAAGGAACAAAGACCAGGAAATAACAATGTATTAGCTAAGGTTCTGTTGATTGAAAGCAACAGAACCTAATTCTGGCTAGCTTAAACCATGCTAGGATTTAATGAAGAATACTGCAGAATCTTAGATATCTTATGACTGGGAAAGAGGAGGTTCAGGCAGTTCCTGGGATGTCAGCAACAGGTAGCTGTCAATTAACTGCCCCCACACCACCCACTGCTGCCGTCATCAATATAGCACACCACAATGGCTCCCAGCCTCTGTACGTCTGGGTTCCGGTGTTCAAATTCTAGAGACAGCAAGAGAAATCCCATTGAGTCAGGGATCCTTCCCTGGGTCACACTCCCTGCATATGGTCAGAAATGCAGGATTATGTACTAAAGACACAGCTAAAGAGGACCCACTTCACTGTTTTGGGACCATTTGCAGGGGAGGCAAAATTAAAGAGGTGATAACCATAAGTTTGCAGGAAAAAAAAAAAATTGGAGAAGAGAAGGATAACACTATGCTACAGTTTCTTCTGAAAATGGACGAAGGGAATAGCATTTCCATTTGGAAATTCTCTCCTGGCATTTCAATATTTATGGATTCTGAATTCTGAGAAAAATCAGTTGAGAAATTAGGAAAATGGGAAGGAACATTCTAATTTTCCTGTGAAAATTACAGCTTAATAGTCAGTATAGAGAACTTACTGGCTTGAAGAAATGCACTGACTTCAAGTCAAGCAAGATGAGGAAGCACTGACACGTGGAGATGAAAGTTAAGGTGAACAGGACAGGAGCAGTAATGGAGCCTCAGTCACACTTTCTTGTATCTGTTGCTGTGTTATAAGTGTGTGTTCATGGCCTTGTCCACTGCTAACAGTGAATCATTTCTGCAAATAAATATTAATGTGTTCGTAGGCATAGTATATGTTTTACAAATCCTATGAGAGGTTTTCTAAGAAATGCCAAGTTTTAGAAACAAAATATGCCCTTAAATCGGCAATTTTGACAGTTGCTTCTTTCTAGTGCTATTCGTCTTGCCAGGAGATCAGAATGTTATGTTATTTAAATGGTATTGGAGGGGATGATTGATGCCTTGTTTAACAATGTCATGTAAACAATGATTAAAGCATTAAGTATTTGTGGTGTTACCTTTCAATCTTTAAAGGACTTTTCTTTAGCATTTATTTTGTGATAATATTCATTTCTTTTTAATGTTTTCTCTATTAATGCTATTGGATTTTATAATCTTGTTACAATATGTTGGCTCATAATAATAATAAATCATCATTTGTTATCATATCTTTTTAAAACAGAAGACTACTAAAACTTTTCATATAATCCTGTTACAGAAAAAAAACGACTATTTGCTTGTTATTATAGTCACTTATTATTTTTCAAAAACTTGTAAGTGAAGTGTTATGAAAATCATATGAATTTGGGAATTCCCAAGCATTCTCAGAAATTCTATTTCCTTGTTCCCAAATCCCAATGATTAATATCTGCCAGGAGTCGGAAAACAGTGAAAGGAAGTAACATCCTATGTTGGATACCTGGTAGGGTTAGTGAAGAAACGTTATTGCTGAGCTCTGTGTTACGCTCACAAATGATGCCATTGAGGAAGTCACACTTGTTGAAAGGAACGCAGATACACAAAGAGTTTTGCTGCTGTCTGTTGGATAAGAACCCCCTGGTCGATTTCAGCTCCTACTGCAAGTTAGAAAAATCAATCCAATGATAAATGAAAAGTGACCAGTGTGCTGGGAAATAACTTATTTTTTGGCTTCAGAGGAAATTTTAGAAACAGTGCCAAGTGAAACGTAAAAACAAACTATGAAGACGTTCATGAATTTCCCTCTGAAGCTGACAGCCGTATTTTAGCAGATGGAACTCCTACTATTAGCCCAACTCTTGGGTTGAAACAGTGTGTCCAGGAAACCCTATGTTAAAATGCAATGTGTTGGGGATATTGTTCCTCTATTTGCTTGAGTTAATTTTCAAATTAGTGTACTCTTGCTTAGCTGTGCTCTGAGGGAATGAACAAAAGATTGGTAAACTCTGATGGAGAACACTGGTCAGGCAGGGCACATAGAATCCCTGGGGATGGTGGTTCCTGACAAATGGGGGAGGAGGACCTGAGCCAGGCTTGGGCTGGGCTGGAGGAACATGAAGATGGGATCTACTCACAACCCCCAAAACTGAGGGCTCCTGATAACACATTATTTCACCCTCAGCCATGCAAGTTCATTATTTTTATGGATAAAATAGCTTTAAAAAACTAATTTACATTGAAATGTTAAAATATTTATATAGAGATTAGAAATATTTATATAGAGATTATTGGGAATCCCCTCCTAAAGCCCAAACATAAAAACTACCAAAAAAAAAAAAAAATTCCGTGTAGGCTAAGATTGCAAATGACTGATGGAATGTAATTTAAATTAAACATGGAAAATATATTTCCTCTTTAATAAAGATCTAAATTCTATTCTTTTTAGGAGCCTTCAGAAATGAAATTCAACTATTAAAAAAAGTATAGAGAAGCCTTTAGAAAAGAAACTTTTCTTTTGCTGTATTATATAATAAAGAACTTTGATGAGAATAGTTCTAAAGTGTTTAATAATCGATTACACTGATGTTTCTAGGTATTGTGGGGAACACCTAGAAATTAAATCTTCATCTTTGGCAGATCAGAGGCCTATTAATTTTAGGTAAAACAATTAAAATCTGCTTTTAATAAATCACAAATTTTGCAAGTTAGCCATTAATAGTAAGCGCTTTTCAAAGTTGGGCCCAATACATGAAAAAGCCAGAAAAACATACCTGCATTAGTTTTGCCCATCACCTTCTTAGGAGATTTATTAACAGCATTCAATATTTTAGGGAGGCTGGATGTGGTGGCTCATGCATGTAATCCCAGCACTTTGGGAGGCTGAGGTGGGAGGATGGCTTGAGGCCAGGAGTTCAAGACCAGCCTGGTCAACCTAGTGAGCCCCTCGGTCTCTCTGAAAAGAAAAAAAAATTTAGGTATCCTGTGGCTACCTCCAAAAACAAACTCCAGAGGAACTGAATTTTTTTTTTATTTCATGTGTTGGGATAATGGCTTCTTTTGCAGTTACTTATGAAGAATTTAAGGGTCAGTAAAAATATTTTTTCATCCTTAATAACATGAATTCTCTAATTTGTATGTGATATAATGCTAGATATTGTGCCAAAAGTGTTACATAGACATAATCCATGCCCATTTTCAAAGATAATACTAATATAGAGAATAAGAATCATTATTATTGTAGTAATTATTATTTTAGTAATAGTAGTAATAATCAAAACAATTACATCAAACACTTATTAAACCCTTATTATGTGACAGGTACTGTGTAAGCAATCTCCACATATTAGCTCCTTAAATGTGATCACTAACCCCATGAGGTAGGTAGCATTATGTCCGTTTTATAGATGCAGAAACTGAGCTTTGAAGAGGGAAAGCAACTTGCCCAAGGCCATGCAGGCAGTCATTGATAAGGGTGGGAAGCGAGAAGTTGAAGTCTGAGATGTAAGTTCACAGACACGAGTACGCAAACGTGTACAAGATACTCGTATGACATGTGGGGTTGCTTGAAATATGTAATTGACTTTCCCCAGCACAAGAAAGTGTTTGGACAGATTTCAAAGGGATCTAACACTTCCTCAGAGGACTGCCCTACGACATTTTTCCGTGTGCTTTTCTGCCTCTTGTCCTATACTTTTGGCATTTCTTCTGCTCTTAGAGGCAATGAGTCAACAGCATATTTTTAGCACCTCCTGTGTGCATAGAAGTGGCCCCTAACTCAATGGGAGTGTATAACTACCATGGGCCAAATCAGTGTGCTTTCCTGTCAGCCAGGGGATTATAGAAGAACACGCTCCCCTGATTCCAACAGAACTTGCTGCCACTCTGATGTCTTCATTGTAAGGCCTCTAAATGAATGTTCAAGAAATTCATGTTAAAGGCACGTGTCATATGTGTAACTTGTAAACATTTGTGTACTTGTCTCTGTGTCCTTACACCTCAGGCTTCAACTCTTGTTTTTACCTTTATCAATGACTACCTGTGTGCTGTGTGGCTTTGGACCAATTGCTCACCCCCTCTAAAGCTCAGTTTCTGCACCTGTAAAATGGATATAATGCCATATATACATAGATATAGATATACATACACAAATATATATACACACATATATATGTGTGTATATACATATATATATAATATACAAACTGAAATATATAGTTATATAAATATTTCAGTTTAAGTTTCAAAAATCACTGGAGGGTATTTTTATAATACCCTTCGGCAATTTTACCTGCTGCCTTTGCACATTCTGGTGAATTTCTAAATGGAAGTCTGATAGAGATTAATCTTTTAATGCATCATAAATAAAAAAGAAAATCACAGAATGATGTAGCTGGAGAGGACCCTGGGGATCTAAAGTGTTTCATGAGAGATTAATGTCCTTGATCTGTTTGTAAGTGTTTTGGAAAAATCTTCCATGGTCAAATAAAACTTGGCAATGTTGGATTAAAGTTAAATAGGTTTTTTTTCCGGCAGAACTTCATAGTCTTTAATATGCTAATGTGTTTTGTGAATCTACAAGGAATGAAGTGTTTCAATACTTATTTTACCCAGATTCTCATTTTGGGACAGGCTGGTCAAGCTGAGTCAGCTAGTATATTCTCTAGATGGAGATGATGGCTGATGCCTTTTTGAGAGCAAGAGAGTCCCCAGGGGAAGCAAGGGTATATCAGTTGCTCCTATTTCATGCCAAGGATCCTCAGTCTTTAGAGGCTCAGAGAAGGCTGAAAGGCTACTCTAGGCTATCAGGGCTACCATTCATTGTGACCCATGCTACAGAGAAGCTTTGAGCTCAGTGCAAATGAGTGACCAGCCCTTGAGAATCAGGAAAATTTATTTATTCCTGACCTAGTCCACTGAGGACATACAAGGAATGGGGCAGGGGAGTGTCACCAGCTTTGGTTACAAGCTAGTCTGATTCTCTTTCGTTAAGAAAACTGGTCCCTGTGAGTTTAGATTGGGAAGCACCAGGTTAAAAAATTTTTAGGCCAGGAGTGGTGGCCACTGTACTCCAGCCTGGGTGACAGAGTGAGAATCTGTCTTAAAAAAAAAAAAAAAAAGTTAAGTGATGTCTTCTGTTGAGGACCTCTCAGAACTTTTAATATGAAAGTGTGCATTGTGAAGAATGGGAGTAGAGTGTACAGGAGTTTTAAAAGCTACTTGGTCATGAAACTCTTGCTTTGTGCAGGATTCGAGGGGCACTAACATTCTGAGGAAAATATTTTGGGAAACATTGATCTAATCCAAACTTCTCATTTTACCAGCAAACAACTGTGGGGCCCTCTAAGTTTCCTTTCTCCATCATTGTGACAAATTCATTGGAATTAATTCAATTAAACCTGGGGTCAGCTTTGAAGAGATTTATTTAGCAGGTAAATCTGTTTTGTACATTTTGAGGGAGTTCTGAGTTTCCATAGTCAAAAACCACAGATCAATTTAACCAACCTTTATGGAATATCACCTATGGCCCAAAGACCCTTTAGCTACAGTGATGGTCTACGAAAATATAAACTGTAATTCTTGCAATACAGGAGATGAGTAATAATGGTAAATATAATGATGATGACATCATGAATAGCTAACATTTATTGAATGCCTTTCTATTAGTCAGGCACTTTACTAAGTATTTTAATCCTCCCAACAATTTATGAGGTAGGGATTATAATAATTCCCATCTTATAGTGAGGACACTGAGGTTAGGAAATTATCCTAGCCTAAATGTTAAGTATAAGCATGAATAGAAAGGTGTTATCAGCCTATAAGACATTCCTTTATGAGTGATACAAAGTCCTATATAAATTCAGAGAAAAGAAAAGTGGTTTTAGAAATCCTTGATCAGTGAGTGTGAAGCACGTGGTGGCCCGGTTACTGTTTGGTTGCCCATCTGTCCTCCCTCTGGGGATCAGCACCCCCTTACTTTGGAAGAATTGTTTTCCTTTTCACTGTAAGGTTCTTTCTGGCTATGCGGTGGGGCACATTGCCTCAAACTAGCCCTGTTCCAGTCTTTGAGAACCTTGAAATTGGAACCAAGGGAAGAGGATTGCCTCTTGAATGGTAATTCTCTGAAATCTAGTCTGAGGTGCTGGTGCTTAATCCCTGGGTCTGTGGAAGGAGCTGGGCTGTGAGAGGGGAGAATGATGTTGATGTCAAGAGAGAGGCAGGTGCTAGGAGCAGAGAGATGGAGGCCTGGAGAGTTTCTGGGCTTCTCTGAGGCTTAGGGTTTGGATCATTGTCTTTGTTACTGGAACAAAGGATTTACCATACCTGCTCTTCTGGGAATGAAACTGTCCTGCTTTGCAAAATAAAGTGTCATTAGAAAGAGATCTTAAAAACCCCACACCATAGACAGGTGCACAGATCCCTAGAAGTGTTAAAGTTCTGTCTGTTGGATGCTAAGCCAAGACTCTTAAGTATGTTCTAAAGAGAAACTGGTGTGTGTAGGCTGTGCACTCCCAGGGAGATAAAAAGTTAGGAACTTTATGGGTTGGGCTTGGTGGCTCACACCTGTAATCCCAGCACTGTGGGAGGCTAAAGTGGGCAGATTGATTGAGCTGAGGAGTTCGAGACCAGCCTAGGCAACATGGTGAAACCCCATGTCTACAAAAACTACAAAAATTAGCTGGGCGTGGTGGCATGTACCTGTAGGCGGGAGGATCGCTTGAGCCCAAGAGGGAGAGGGTGCAGTGAGCCATGATTGTGCCACTGCACTCCACCTGGGTGACAGGAACTTTATGGGGAATGGGATCTTGGAGACTGAGTAGAGACTAGAGGAAAAAAAAAAAAAAACTACCTCCCCAACTGGCCACACTATTCTTTTAAAAAAATGTTAATTGACAAATTAAAATTGTATGTATTTACGGAGGTATAATGTGATGTTATGATATATGTATACATTGTGGAATAATTAAATCCAGAGAATTAATAGATTCATCACCTCAAAACCTATCTTTTTTGTGGTGAGAACATTTGAAATTTATTGTCTTAGCAATTTTGAAATACACAATACTTCATTGTTAACTACAGTCACCATGCTGTGCTGTAGATCTCAACAAAATATATTCTTCCTGTCTCAACTAAAACACTGTACTCTTTGACAACATTTCCCCATTCCTCTCACCCCCTCCAAAAACACCCATTCTTTATGTTGAAGAGAATGGCTAAAAAGTCCCAGCAGGTTTCAACTGACGGCTTCAGTGGTTTTCCCATCACACTTCAATGTTATTAATAAAAAGGGGAGGGGCAATACATAATTCGGACAGGCTGAAAGTACCATTGTAACCACTTTCTTGACTTCACAGAAAAAGTCCTCTTGTTTTCATCTGTAAAATGGGAACTGCGTGAATACCATTCTTCTTTTCTTCAGCCTCCAAAGAAAAAACAGATGCAAAGCCTTTTATCAATTGCAAAACAGTATACAATGTGTGTTATTACTCACAGTTGTCTTACTGTGACCAAACACTTTATAAGCCTGCTGCAAGTCAGCCTTACTCTCAGGAAGTGGACAATATTTGGGGAAGGAGAAGCAGCAGGATATTTCAGGACAGTAGCCTTGGTGGGTCCAAAAATTCATTGAGAGAAATGGGAGATAGAACTTTCTTCCTGCTTTGGGTTTTATCCTGTTAGTCTTTTCTCTCTTCACTCCTATTTTCTATGGAGAATTTCCTGGTTTTGGAGTTTGGGTGCGTTTTATGGAGAGGAGGCAGAAAATCTTTAGCTCCAGCAGAATGAAAGGATACATGCAAAGGAACCTAGCACAGTATCTGGTACCCAGTTCTCCTTTAACTTGGCTTTATTCATTCACTCCTGGTAGGGCATTAATAAGGGATTTAGCCCCCTCCTATTGAAGACGATTAATTCAGGGAAGAGTTCAGACAGTGTGGACAGATACAGTGTAGGACAAGCCTGTTTCTAAGGCAGGAGCTGGGTAGGGAGGGTGAGAAGGGCGAGAAGAATAGGGAGATATGTGTCATCTGTGTTGCTGCTGTTGCAACCACCACAACAAACAAGCAAGTGAAAAAAAAAAAAAAATTGTCCATACCGGAAAGTGTGCTGTTTTGGAGGAGGCTGGGGAAAGTGTGGATGGCTTGAGTGGGTCCTGTTGGATTGAAGTCTGACAGTGGTGATTCCCTTCAACAAATGGTCGGGGTGGGAGGGTACGTACACACACACACACACACACACACACACACACACACACACACACACACACACACAGCACGCAGCGCCCAGCCTCCGATTTCAGCGCTGGCAGGAGATAACCATTCTTAGCTCGCCTTTCCAGGGTTATTTTTGGCTGAGGCTGTTCGCTGATGGCAAAAGGTTTCAGCCCCCTCCCAAATCCCTCCCCGTCCTTGTTCTAAAGAGAAACTGGTGCGCACTCCCAAGGAGATAGGGAGACGGGCCGGGCGCCGGAGAGGAACCCGGACTCTGCCCAAAGTCTCGCCGCCCGCCGGCTGTTTTCTGGCGGAGGGTGTGTCCCGGAGGGCGGCGAGCGCGGGTGAAGGCTGGGGCCAGGCGCGGGTGGAGGCGTCACCGGGGTCGGGCTAGCAGGCCCTGGAATCAGGCTTTTGGGACATCCCGAAAGTGAGTCCAACTTGGGGAGAAACTGAGGGCACCTCGGGCGGTCTGGCAGCGGAGAAGGTGGGCGGGAGAAAACTTTACAGGAAGGCAGAAGCAATCTCTGCCGAGGGAGTCAGCGAGCGGCCGCGCGGAGAGGAGGGGCGGGCGGTCCCCAGGCGGGCGGGCGCAGGGCGCAGGGCGCCGACCTGCTGGAGAGGGGGCCCCGGGCGCGAGGCGGAGTCCCGGCGCGCAGCCAGGCTGGTGGGGGCCCCCGGCAGGCTGCAGATTCCCTCCGGCTCCGGGAGCCGCAGCAGGACCGGCCAGGAGGCGCCATAGAGGGGAGCCCCATCCCGGTGCTGACAGTGCCCACCGCGCCCTACGAGGACCAGCGGCCGTCCGGCGGCGGGGGTCTGCGGCGACCCACCGGCCTCTTCGAGGGCCAGCGCAACTACCTGCCCAACTTTATCCAGAGCGTGCTGTCGTCCATCGACCTGCGCGACCGTCAGGGCTGCACCATGGTGGTGGGCAGCGACGGCAGGTACTTTAGCAGGACGGCCATCGAGATCGTGGTGCAGATGGCCGCGGCCAACGGGGTGAGTGTCCGGATGCCCTTCGCTTCCCGCCGCGCCGTCGCCATGCCCTCTCCTAGCCCTTGTCCCCCTGCTGCCTCCGGGCCCAGTTGGGAGGCCCCTGCCCGGCCCCAGCTTTGCTACCTCACTCCCACGTCCTCACCCTCCAGCGCCCCACTCCCGCCGCGCTCGCAGCCTCCCCGGCGCACCCCGGACACTGGGTTCTATTAGTACCCACCGCCCCCAAAAGCCTTGAGGGGTTTCCGTCGTTCCTGGAGCCACTCCGGGCGCCCTGGACTCTTCTCTGACTCTGCGCACATCCCGCACCTGCTCATTTTTCTTTCGGACATTCTCTTACCCGGCCCTGTAGATTCCAAGGCAGCTCCCAGTTTTCCATATTGTTCCCAACGCGTTCACTGCCCACAGTCCCCACACAAACTTCTTTCGCAGGCTCACAACATAGTCCTTCTGCCCCGTGCCCTTTTTGCAATAATCTGCCAGTCCCCTAAGTCTTAGCTCTGCCTATTTAACAGTAGTGGTGTGTCAGAACACACACACACACACACACACACACACACGATCCCTGACATATTTGGCAAGAGCAGGCCCTGAAGGTTTTTAATATTTTGGTTCTTTAACCCAGTGGAATTACTGAATGATTTATTTAATTAGGGTAGGGATGGAG
Organism: Homo sapiens; assembly: GCF_000001405.40. Taxonomy (NCBI): domain Eukaryota; kingdom Metazoa; phylum Chordata; class Mammalia; order Primates; family Hominidae; genus Homo; species Homo sapiens. Next base: position 41,073,526 of record NC_000009.12, on the reverse strand, counting down.
TGGATCCATTTGTTTGATGCTAAACAGCCTGAGCTCGCAGTTCCCAGGGGGCATATCTCTAAATGGTCTGAAATGAGATTTGCAGTGGTTTTCTTAATGCAATTCCCAACTTCTCTCCAAATGCCTTTTTGACATTTGACAACATTTCATGCCTCTTCCCCTTTCGGTTTTCATCCTTGTTTTCTCTCCCTTCTCCCACGAACTCGGTAGTCTTCTGCAATCCAGATTCTCAGACTTCGGGTTTTTCTCCCTCTGCCCCTTTCCTCTCTGTCCTATAACTAGAAGCACCTTTTGGCATAGACCCATATCCCAGTTTCCTCTTTCCCAGGTCCAGCAGCATCTCAAGGACATCTACAAGAGGGATACCTAATTTCAGGGGTCTCTGAATTATATGTGGGAAACATCGTCTAAAAAAGTAATTTTATCCTTATTCATGCAACCAGACCCACACTCATAGAACTTTTCTTTAAGGGGAGTGTCTTGCAGATGTATAAATGAGTGTTAACATCTTTAAAAGCGAAACTGAACAATTCCCTGGCATTTGAATTCCCTCCTTCCTTCCCAACCCTCTCCTTTTCATTTTCTCATTTATTATTAAAAACAATTTTAAAGGATTTCCATGCTTCATATTTATCTACTATAATTCCTCCTTCTCGGTGTTGCAGGGATGGGGAAAGAGGATTTTTTTAAAAACACAATAAAAAGCAATTGGGAGAAACAGGGCCAGTGGTGTTGGGGTGGGTAGTGGAATTGTGATTTTTGACTCCAGTAGACAATGATGCTGGATATATGGGGTTTGATTTCTCTCTGGCTCCTCACTTGGGATTGATGAAGTTTGGCTAGAATCAGGGAGTTGAAGAGAGGTTGACAAATGGTCTTTCATATTTTTTGAAGCTACGGTTGTTGATTTGCATGGGAAAATTATTATGTCTTATTATTTCTTGTCCCACTTTACCATAAGGGCTCCTCAGCTTCTTACTTCAATGGGCCTTCTATGACAAACACACTTTATTAACTCTAAGAGTGGAATTTATTTTAACAGATAATTAGCATAGGTCAATATATGCTTAAAATAGAGTCAAATTAAACCTACTAGCTGTTATAAAGGACAGATGACAAATTAAAATCCACATAGAAGCATCGACTCTTAAAGAATCTGAAAGTACTACTTCTAAGAGGGGTGGGCATGGGTGAAGGGAATGGTGGACATGTTTCAGAATTTCAAACAGCCAACTTTAACCAATCTTTTCCTCATTTTGTTCACCTTCTTGGGGGCTTATGCTAAAGTGAAGTGAATAGCCATAAGGCTGGCTTCAGGAGAAAGGTGGTCTAAAAGAACTGGATAATTATAAGCAAAATTGGTCTTGAATGATTGAAAATTGATGAGAATGTGCTTGTCTCCTGATTTGGCATTCTGAGTTAGACTCAGGAATACTGAACTTGGATCCCAAAGGCTTTGGTCTTTTTTGATATCCTATTGGATAATCATAAGCAGGCTAGAAAAATAGAAAACTAGAATTTATTATTTTTGAACTGACAAATCTGACCAGTGGGCTGCATTCTCTATATCTGAACAATCTTGGTTTTGATGGAAAAAGTTAATTTTAAAAAGCAATTTTCATTTTTTAAATTAAATTTCATTTTTTTTTGAGACAGGGTCTCACTTTGTTGCCCAGGCTGGAGTGCAATGGCACAGTCTTGGCTCACTGTAGCCTTGACCTCCCCAGATTCAGGTGATCTTCCCACCTCAGCCTCCTGAGTAGCTGGGGCTATAGGTGCATGCCACTATGCACAGCTTATTTTTGTGTTTTTACTACTCATAGGGTTTCTCTGTGTTGCCCAGTCTAGTCTCAAACTCCTGATCTCAAGAGATCTGCCTGCCTTGGCCTCCTGAAGTGTCATGAACCACCATGCCCAGCCTACAAAGCAATGTTCTAGGAAAAACTAGTTACTCTTTGATTATGTAATTGCTGGAGAAGAAAAACATGGCATTTCTAAAATGATGAACTATATTACTTATATTTTAATATCTCATAAAGTTTGAAATAGACATTTCAAACATAAACATGTATAAAAATTTTTATAAATTAAAAATATAAAATCAAAAACATTTTAAAATTATTTTATTATAAAATTATTATAGAATCAAAAACATTATAAATTTAAACAACTTTTAAAAAAAATTATTTTGGGATTTCCCATGGAGTGATGGAGAATAATGAGCCTTGGGAGAGCTATGGCAGCTCTCATACTCCTTCCTGGGCCAACTTTTTTAGGAAATGGGAGAAATATACCCTGTTCAATGTTTATTGTGGGTCAGGATATTTTTGAAGCTATAGTTGTTGATTTGTTTCAAACTTTAAAAAATTTATTATAAAATTATGGGATGTAAAAAAATTTATTATAAAACTTTGAAATTTTCAAACTTTCAGAAAAGCAGAGAGATGAGATTAATGGCACTCATAGGCAAACATAGAACATAGATTGTAAACATTTTGCTATATTTGTGTCATGATTATTTTTTGCTTGTGTTTGAAAATATATTAAAGAAAATTATATTTTACCCCTAAATTCTTTAGTACAGATTTCTAAAAAATAAGAACATTTTCCTGTATAGTTACAAAATCACCTTTTCAAACAAAATAAAAAATGTTTTTTATATCATTTATTACCCAGTCCACATTCAGATTTCCTCAATTATTATGAAATGTCCTTTTATTTTTTGAGACAAAGTCTTGCTCTTTCACACAGCCTGAAGTGCAGTGAAACAATCATAGCTCATTGCAGCCTCAAACTCCTGGGCTCAAGTGATCTTCCTGCCTCAGCTTCCTGAGTAGCTAGGACTATAGGTGCACACCACCATGCCCAGCTAATTTATTGTTTTTGTAGAGATGGAGGTCTTATTACGTTGCCCAGGCTGGTCTCAAACTCCTGGCCTCAAGTGATCCTTCCAGCTTGGTCTCCCTGAAATATCTTTTGTGGCTGGTTTGTTCAAATTAGTTTCTTCTAATCAAGGGACACACATTGCATTTGATTATTTAGCTCAAGACTTTTTTAACCTGGAAAATACCCTTACTCTTTGTTTATGTATTTATTTAGTGAAATTGACTTGTTGAAAGACTAGTCAATTGTCCTGTAGAATATTTCCCCTTCTGGAATTTTCTGGTTGCTTTTTATGGTGTCATTTAACTTTTCACTCTGTTTTTTCCTGGTTAACTGGAAGTTAGTTCTAAAGGCTTTTAGGCCTGCTATAACAAAATACCAAAAACTGGATGACTTATAAAGAACATAAATTTATTTCTCACAGTTCTAGAGACTAGCAAGTTTAAGATCAAGGAGCATGCGGTTTTGATATCTGGTTAGGACCAACTTTCTGGTTCATAGATTGGCCTTCTTGCTGGGCCCTCACATAGTGGGAGAGACTAGCTAGCTCTCTGGGGCCTCTTTTATAAGGGCACTAATTCCAATCATGAAGGCTCTGTCCTTATGATCTAATGACCCCCTAAAGGCCCCACCTTTTAATACCAGCACCTTTGGGGTTAGGATGTCAACATATTAATTTTGGGAAGACATACACGTTCAGCCCATTGCAAGGTTTAGTTAGATTCAGGTTCAACTTCTTTTTTTAAAGACTATTTCATAGGCAATAATGTGTATTCACATTCCATCATTAGTGATGGTGAGATGATCGCAAGGTTAGGGTGATCACTGCCTATCTCCTCTGCTATATTCCCCCTTGGGTCAAGCCAGTAGTCTGTGATGTGAACTTTGTACCATGTGTATATTCAGTTATATTCTGTATCAATAGTTACTTGATTGTTTTAGCATTTATTAATGATCCTTGCTTGAGTTGATTATTTCATTAGGGGTTTCAAAATGGTGAATTTCTAATTCTCTAATTCTATCTACATGTTTTAGCTGGCATTTTTCTATAAGCAGACCATTTTCTTCACAACTGGGTTATTTGGCTACCCTGAAACATAGTTCCTTCTGGGAAGGCAGAACATATGTTTATTTCTGTCTTTTAAAAATTACTGGTGTTTGGAGTGAAGATTAGGTGAGGTAACTACCTCCACAGGTGACAAATGAATTTTGTTTTGTCTCACTTTTGCTTTTTTGAATATCACTGTGGATGCTTGGATTTTTATATTTAATTTGAATGGATTAGGGAATAAATGAGAAGATAGGTTTTGTCTGTTTCTGTAGTTTTTATGTGGCTGTGTGAACTTACTTTTAAAAATTCCCAGAAATATTTTAATTCCCCTTTAAAGATATAAACTATGTCATACTATAAAGCAAAAGAAAAACCAATCATGTGAAGAGTAAATAGTATCGTTTAAACGAATTGTGGTTAAGCTTAATTTGTAACTAATTAGTTTTTTATTTTCTTTCTACTTTTATCTGCTTCAGAGCCTCTTCAGTGGTTTAGATCTTCTATGTGTCAAATTATTCTAATCTCTTAAAAAGTTTAAGAGCTAAAATACAACACAATGACTACAGGAATGCCTTTGTCCTTTTCTGGGTGGGTACACCTAAGGCAATTTCTTTTTCTCTTCTTTGTTCTCTTCTTCTTTCTTATTCTTAAATCATCTTCAATATTGGACAGATGACAGCACTGTGCCTGCCTCAAGATGTTTCTGACTTTTTCTTTTTCTTTTTTTCTTTTTTTTTTTGAGATGGAGTCTTGCTCTGTCACCCAGGCTAGAGTGCAGTGGCACAATCTTGGCTCACTACAACTTCCGCCTCCTGGGTTCCAGTGATTCTCCCAACTCAGCCTCCTGAGTAGCTGGGGTTACAGGCATGCAACACCACGCCTAGCTAATTTTTTTGTATTTTTACTAGAGACGAGGTTTCACCATGTCGGCCAGGCTGGTCTTGAACTCCTGACCTCAAGGGATCTGCCTGCCTTGGCCTCCCAAAGTGCTGGGATTACACGTGTGAGCCACTGCGCCCGGCCGTTTCTGACTTTTTCTAAAGTCTTCTTTCTCTGGAGATGACATTATATAATAGCACTGTTCAATAGAAGTTTCTTTGATGATGGAACTGTTCTGTAATCTGCATTGTCCCAGCCACTAGCCATATGTGACTACTGAACACTTGAAATGTGACTAGAGCAACTGAAGAACTGAATTTTGCATTTTACTTAATTTTAATTAATTAAAATAGAAATGCAAATAACCATAAGTGGTTAGTAGCTACCATACTGGACAGCAAAGATCTATAATTCAGCATTTAAAATCGATTTTGTTTTGTTTTCAAAAATGGAGTCAGACTGTTACAACCCACAAGAACTGTAGGTTAAATTAAGGTAAATCACCAAATACTACATACACATTTGGGAAATCCAAACCAGATTTTTTCATGTGATAACCACACCCTCTTTTGACTTTAGCCTTGGAGGTAATGGAGTATGGCAGAAAAAACCCTGTATCAGCAGCTGGAAGACTCACCTTCTTTTCCTAGCTCTGCCATATATTGACCAAAAGAGTCAAAGTCCATTCAGATGGTTGAGGGGCCTTGGAATTTTGTTTTTGGTTTTCACATACAAGTTGGAGGGCAGATGTGTTAGCCTCTTGAAATACCCAGAAACCACTTGTTTCCTCATCTAAAAATCAGGTATGACAGGATCATTTAATTATCCTGGAAATCAGATGAAGCACTGCATATGAAAACACTTTGTAACATTGATAGCACTGGGAAATGTAAAGACCTTTTACTGAAATATAAAGGTGTATGGTCAACTGAATATATCTCAGATAATTATGATTTGACTGTATGTATTGAATATAACCTGTAGTGGGCCCCTTGGTAAACAGCTTACAGTTTTGTTGCAAGTTTTAGCCAAGAGAAAATTTATTTGTTGACTAGTCATGCCCTTTATTGGCCACATGATGAGCAGCAATGGTATTAACACACAGTGCACCTTGCAGAATTCAAGAATGTCTCAGTGTCTTGTGAACTAGGAAGCTGAAATGCAGTGGTATGCAGAAGGCTGGCTCAGTAGGAGCCTTGGGAGTGTCCTCCAGATAGATGTTTGTGCAGGTTGTATTTGATTCCAGTTGGCCATGAAAAGCTGGTTGCTCTAAAGAATGAGAATATACTTGGTTTTACATTTACTAGAACTATCTGGGGAACAAATCTTGGGGTGGAAGAAAGAAGGGAGGGAGGGAAAGCTGTGCTTCAATACCTAGGGCTTCTTTCCTGGAATGGATCTGAGAATCTGGGATTGGGTGGCTAATATCTCATCTCTAGAAGGGAGAAAGAACTGGGTGGTGATGGCTTTGTATTTTCTACTGGAGTTCACTACAGAATAGGTGAATGGAATGGGCTGCTATGATCCAGACATTAGGGAGGACAGGTTTGTGATACATTAGAAAACTTGAACGAGCCCTTCTATGATTCTCTCTTCCCTCTTTCTGCTTCCCTTTCTGAATCACCATCCCCAGGTTGTGGAATTAGCAAATCTATTATGTGAGCAATAGCAAACTTACAGGAGCCCTCGGCTCCATCTATCTCCCTGTTTGTGTCAGTTCATTCTGGATGCTTTTAGTCTGTGGTCTTCATTCACTCTTTTTATGGGGAAGTAAAAGGAGTGGGACAGATTATGAGAACAGCTGGGTCCTCCCAGTTGCTGGGGTGGTTATTTTAAGCTTTGTTTAATGTGTCCAGAGACCCAGATGGCATTTTTAACTAAGCTGCTTTATTAAATCTTGTGATAAAGCATAGTGATGTTTATTGAAAAGGCAGACACACATCAGCAACATTATGCATGAAACTTGCTCTAAGAATTTTCTATAAAACATCTGTTCTCTTTGAGCCTTTGTGAACTCTGGAAGTTTGCTAGTTTCTATACAGACTTGAGGACAAGAAGTTGGAACCCACTTTTGGAGATGTCCAAGCATAGGTATTGGAATCATTAATCCTAACCCTCTCAGTTTTAAGGCCCCGGATACCCTTCTGTTAGACAACAGTAACATGAGCAAGCACTGTAATAACATTTAAACAAGATTATTTGGAAATAATGGACAAGAAAAATTAGTATAAATTGTTTGGGGATTTTAAAATTAAAGATAAAAAGCTAGGGCTTCAATGACCTGTGCCAGGCTATAGCCTTAAGAGTCAATTTGCAAACACTCAAGATTTGGCCAATATGCCTCTACTACTTCTACTTAACACAGTCAAAGGGAAATTTTTAGATTCTTTCATCTGATTTGACTCTCTTAGTTACGAATAAGAGGATATCTAGAATATATATGTGACTTGTTAAAATGAAAATCCACCTTCTCTGAGTCTTCAAATATCTTTCATATCTTACATTTTTAGTAACATCAACTTTTGAAGTCATGTCCATAGTTGTATGAAAAGAAAAATTTCAGGAACATTCAACCTCAAAAGTTCTTTTTCTTAGTCTGAAGTCGTAGAAGCATTTGACTTTTACTTTTTCTTTTTAAGTTTGTACTAGTAGGTATTTTGTATAAATATAATATTTAGTTATTGCCTTTGTATTCTTTTTCTCTAGTAAACATCCTGGTTTTTAGCTATCAATATGTAGTTTTACATTTAGGGATTTCTAATGGAAAGAGAAAGGAATCTGAAATCAGAGGACAAGAGTTTATTCTACTTGACCAAACATATACAAAATACTGGAAGGAGAGTTTTACAACAAATATTTAATATCTATGACATGTAAAAAGGTTTTCCAAATCAAGAAAATTCAAACAATTCAATACAAATATCATCAATAATAACACATGAAGAGGTGGCCAACCTTATTAATAACCAGAGAAATATAAATTAAAACAATCCATCAACTTGTAAAAAAGATGAAATTACCCAGAGTTGGTGTAGGTGATGGAAAATTGTCATGTTTGTATACTGTTCATAGAAGTTAAATTGACATAACTTTTTGGTCAGGCAATTTGGAAGTATATATCTAAATTAATAGAGAAGTTTTCTAATAACCTGGGAATCTCTTAATCTAAGAATCTTTACTGTAGATTTTTCTAGAACAAATGTACAAACATCTATGTACAAGGGTACTCACTGCAGCATTTTGCTAAGGAAAAACTCAGAAAAAAATCTATATGTTCAACAGAGAACAGGTACATAATTTATGACACAACCGCACAATATACACCACTAAAATAAAGGATATAAATTTATGTATAGTATGAAAAAGATGTGAATGATAGCTTGTTGGTGAAAAACAGCAATGACTGGAATATTGTGTGTAATGTAATCCTGCTTTTCTGTATATAATGTAGGCATAGAAAATAGGATTGAAAGGACATACTCTAGTCAACAGTGGATATAGCTTGGGTGGAGGGGGTGTATAATGGGGAAGGAGAGTCCCTTTTCCTATCTATTCCATATACATCTCTGGATTTAAAAGATCATACATGCATATGCATTACCTTCAGAATTAAAATGATAAAGACAAAAGGAGAAGCTTTGTATTTGAATCATGATACTACTGTTTGCAACTTATATGACCGTGGGGAAGTCGCCTAGCCTCCTGGGGTTTATTTCCTCATTTATAAAAATAGGGAAAGTAATAATACTTGTCTACATATCTTCTAGGGTTGTTGGGAGGATTGAATGTGATAATGGGTTACAGCATTATGAATTATTTATTCATATAACACAATTATTATAAAAATATTTTGCTCTGATTAAAATAAAAGAAGGACGAGATCGTGTGTGTTTTTCAGTCCCAGTAGCTTTACTAACCAGAAAGCGCCTGCTGATGTGGTGATCACAGTTGCTTTGGTGCAGCTTCCTCTTGACTTTTGGCATTTCTCCATGCTGCTAGCTAAGGCTGAGGTGGCGACTGTGGAAGGTGTGAGCTCCTCCCCCTCCCAGCACACATTTGTGTGCGTACTCACACTCATGCACACACACACACATGCACACTCTATCACAGTACATGAGGTGGCAGCAGCTGCTCCGGCATAGACTTTCACACAACATAAAGGGCTTTTTTGCTGTGGTCTGTGCATTATTTCTTGTTAAGCATGAGCTGAGTCAGTGCCATGCTTTTCCATCTGAAACCTTTCTGAGGCTCAGGCTGTGTTAAGAGCAAACCCTCTCCCCTCCATGCCCACCCCTTGGCCCTCTACTGAAGCCAGATCTTAATCTGCTCATTTCATGAGGATTTTCAAACCGAATGGACTGGGCCATGTGAGAGATCACTGAAAGGAACAGACCAAGCAGAGGCTAAGAGACTCCACGCTAATCTGCTGAGTCGTCTGAAAATGCACAGCTGTGGGAGCTTACGGTGCTTTAAAGTACTTTGGCAGGATGTTTGTTCAGGGGGCCTGTTCCTGCAGCCCTGCTGAATGTTTGGTTAGGAGGCATAATCTTTTTTTGGACAGGATCTCCCAAATGTAAAGTGATAGATGCTAATGTGGAATATAATACAGAAGATCCAGCTTGGATGTCATAAATAACAATAAATTGTTTAATCTTGCTGAGTTGTAAATCTATGATTGCCAGAGGTCTTTAGTTCACTGGAACATAGTATGGGGGCAGGGGCACTTAGCAAATAGGCAGTTATTACTTTCCAACCAGACAGAAACTGGTCTGATGGAATTTATCTAAAAAGGCATACACATGTATTTTAATTAATTGTGACAATTACTCAGAGAAAACACATGGCCCTAAAGAGGCTGAGGGGTTTTTTTGTTCTACCTATGAATGTATATGTATATTCACCTATATTCTACCTATGTATAAGTAAGAGAATGAGTTTTTGTTTTGGGGATATATATTTATACGTATCTATACAGATAGATATACACATACTTAATTTCTGTCTACCTATTAAGGTGCAGTGCCAGATGGAAAGTATTTTTAAGCATTTAGATAGCTTATTCTATAGCATATGTGTGCATATAGCCCCCCCATAAAGCTTTGTCTCTTTTCTGGATATATTTAACAAGAGGCTAGAACAGAGTCCAAAATGTCAGAAATGTTTGAACATTCCATAGAAATGAAGGAGGTGTTTCCAAATGACCTATGTTTCTATGGCAATAAATAGAACTTGTGCTGCGTTGGATGCGTCAGGAGTAAGGAATATAAACAGTGTAAGTATGACTATTCCAGGCAGAAATCTACCTTGTAAGAACAGCTTTGTGCAGTGAGCTCAACAACATTGATCAGTTAGCAGTCTGGTTCAGTACAACATTGATCAGGTAGCAAGCCGGTTCGGCAGTGCCAGTCGGAGACACAGATGGGGACAATCAAAGAAGATGCAGGTCAGGACAAGGATGCAGACATGTACCTGTCACTACCATGGACTTCAGCACTTCTTAGTGAGCAGGTTTATGATTAAAGAAGAAAGACATCGTTGATATGTAAGCATGTTACAATTAATTTGCTGTTTAGTTATTAGCAAACTACATCCAGTTTTTAGTTTTTAGGTTTTTTTTTTCTTTTTTCTTTTTTGAAACAGGTTCTTGTTCTGTCATCCAGGCTGGAGTGCAGTCGTTATCCAAGCTCACTGCAGCCTTAAACTCCTAGGCTTAGTGGATCCTCCCACCTCAGCCTCCCAAGAAGCTGGGACTACAGGTGCACGCCACCATGGCCAGCTAATTTTTCTTATTTTTTTGTAGAGATGAGGTCTTGCTGTATTGCCCAGGCTGCTCTTGAGCTCCTGGCTTCAAGCCATCCTCCTGTCTTGGTTTCCCAAAGTGCTGGGACTATAGGTGTGACTCACCATGCCTGGCCTACATCCAGTTTAATTTATACTACACTGTGGGTTTAGTCCTCAAACATGTTTTTGTTTTACATATAAAAATTTGAGGTAAAAGAACATTTTTACATTGGTCAATAATGGTACATTTAAACAATGGACGACTATATCCATTAAAATCGTGTTGTGGAAGAATATTCAGTGACATGGAAAGACTGACTCAAGGGCAAGTGAAACGTGTCAAGAGTCTGTTAGGTACTAGACACTGTAAACTGGGTCTTGGCTGTGTTACTTGCTTACATCCTCCATCATGTGATCTTTTAGATAACAAAATCGAGATACATAGGGATAATGGGTGGGCTGATTGAAGAACAGAACTTGGGCCACACTTCTAGATGCCTGTGACTTTTCTGCATCTATTCAGATATTAGGAATTGATTATGAAATCCATGGTGGTTTGATGCTAATGAACTCTCCTCTATCTCTCCAGCATGTGTGTAAAGACTTCCAGAGGTACAGGAAGTTGAGGATGAGCTCTCTTACTTCCATCTGGTCTCCATGTAACAAATCATATAACTGCACAATTATCCAAATGCAAATGAAGGAGTCCCTTGATGTTTGGATAACCACATTCATGCCTTGAGTTTGTTATTTCTTGAAATTGCCCTTATCCGTCTCCTGTTTACCCATGAACAACACTACTTAAGGGCTGGCACTCTGCAACCCATGGCAGCTTGGCTTTTTCCGGTGTTTTGTTTTTGTTTTTAACCGAGAAGACAGGAAACAGGCATCTTTGTGTATATGGCTTGCCACAGCCCTTCGTAGATGGACATGGTGGAGGCTGTGTGGTCCCGGAGAACACTTCCTCTGTGAAGCATCAGGGAAGTTTCTGTTCATTGTGTCTTCACTCTCTCCAATTCACTTGTGGAGTGATAGGGATTATAACACAGTGAGCAGAGGATATTGGGGAATGTCATGCTTAATTTTCTTTTCTTTTTTCTTCTTAAATGACATTTAAAGCTAAAAGAGAATCACAAAGGGTAAGTCTGATTTAAGACATTTCACACATGAAAGAAATCCTGCTTTCATGCGTGTTATGTCACAGGAAAAACTCATTTAGAGTCAACATTCTGCACCTACTCCGAAATTTTAGCCTGAGGGTTTAAATATTACCTCGCTGCTCTCTAGGACTTTAATTTGAGCTAATTAGAAATGGAACTCATACTAAAACTAATTTAGGAAAGAAGCTGTTGATGTTCTGAAGAAAAACAGCTGTCAGAAATAAGATCATTAAAAAACCATAGTTGTATATGGCACAAAATGTAAAGGAATAGAAATGCTGGGAGAAAGCTTTTATAGAATAACATTTTATCTTTCTTTGGACACTGGTCTAAGGCATGTGAAATGGCATATTGATTCCCTTGGCACCTGGTATGCTCATTTATGGATGAAAAAGCCCAATGACATAATTTAGGTGAGGTTTAAGGCTTGATGGGAGGCATTGGTGCCATTAGAAGGACGGACACAAAGAGTTCTTAAGTAACGGCATCATGGGAAATGATAATTGCACACTCCTTTCTACTATGTCTTGGTTTCCCCAAGCATTTAGAAGTCATGGCTGGGTAGGAACAAATTTATCATGAGTCTGTCTGTGTGTTTGGGAATGCATATGCCTCACAGATGTGTCTGCAGGGGTCTGTGTGATAATGTTCATATATGTGATAGATGTGGACCCTGGGATCTGTATCTGTGTGGACCCTGGGATCTGTACATGTGTGTGAGTGACAGTGGACTAGGGTCCACTTTGCCCCCTTTTCCACGTGGGAGTTGAAGGAAATGCCCCTTAATGGCAGTAGCATCCACTTGGGTGTGTGCACCTTCTGGAGGACTGGGTGAGGTTGCCCTTCTTCCAGCCAAAGCCAGACCCTATGGTGTGGGACGTTCAGTGGGGAGCAACAGAATGCCATGGCTTGGTCCTCCCTGGGCTGTGGTCTGGATTTCACTCAGGAATGAAAGTCAGATATTGCCTGCTTCAATGTTGTAAACATAACTAAGGATAATTATGTAAGTAGACCATCTTTTCCTTGCAAGGTAGCGGTCTGCTGCATTGACAGAGGGTAGTATTTCTAGGACTTTTTCAGAGAGTAAAATGGTACTTTAAGGGATAATCTGTTATCTAAAGATGAATTTTAAATGTTGGAGGGGGTTGTGGGATTCGGGGAAGACAATAGAATAATTTGTGTCATGGTTAATTTAACAAAGAGTTTTTGTTTATAGAATCTGATCTTCGGTGGATTTTAACAACCCTCTTCTTCCTTGGCTTTTCAGATAAAGATGCAGAGCCTCAGAGAAGTTAAATGATTGATCCTATGTCAGGGGGTAGAGTCAAGACTCATACCTATGCCTTTTAACTTCAAGTTGAGTGCTTTTTCTTTATACAAAAGGGCTTCCAAAAGTTATATTTCTTTTTATCAATGACTAGATCTTGAAAGCCATACCTTTTCTGATGGCATTTATCCTGGGCTAATTGGTAGAGAGAGGGTGAACAGAAGAGAAGACATAGACACGCAGAGAAGAAAGTGATGTGAAAACAGAGGCAGAGATTGGAGTGATGTGAACACAAGCTCGGAAATATGTGGAGGCAACAGAAACTGGAAGAGGCAAGGGAGGATCCTCCCCTAGAGCCTTTCGATGAGGCAGACCCCCACTGACACCTTGATTTTGAACTTCTGGCCTCCAGAACTGTAAGGGAAAAAATTTTAATCGCTTTTAGCCACCAAGTTTATGGCAATTTGTTATAGCAGCCTTGTGAAGCTAATACAAACTTTGTATTAGATTACAAACTTTGTATTCATTT